>NC_000002.12:196580527-196883557 GCF_000001405.40 Homo sapiens | reverse complement strand
GATTATCCAAGTTCTTCCTAATTAATGTTTCATATTAGCTACCATTTGTCTGGTGGGTCTTAGCTGCCTGTAGCTGTGGCTTATGTGGCCCTTTTAAGGCTCTTTAATTTACATTAGAACATATGAGTCTGTCACAGGGACTTTGCTAAGTCGGGGTGAAGCCCAGGAGTTTATGTTTGATAAACATCCCACATGAATCTGGTCAGATTGTTAGAAGGCTACTCATTAATGGTTCTTTAGCTTGAGCATCTCTGTCCTCCTTGCCCACATTGGTGCTTCTCAAGAAGATTGGGGAAAGCTAAGTGTCTTTAGAAATGTTTAGTGCAAACATATTGTTAGAACATATAACTACTCCCACCCCACACATACTTCCAGAACAAAACTCGATTAAAAACTGTATTTGGGTGATTCATCACATAAATAGAACTAAAGACAAAAGCCACATCATTATCTCAATAGATGCAGAAAAGGCTTTTGATAAAATTCAACACCCATTCATGTTAAAAACTCTCAGTAGACTAGGTATTGAAGGAACATATCTCAAAGTAATAAGAGCCATCTAATGACAAACCCACAGCCAACATCATACTGAATGGGCAAAAGCTGGAAGCATTCCCCTTGAAAACCAGCACAAGACAAGGATGCCCTCTCTCACCGCTCCTATTCAGCATAGTACTGGAAGACCTGGCCAGGGCAATCAGGCAAGAGAAAGAAATAAGGGGCATCCAAATAGGAAGAGAGGAAGTCAAATTATCTTTGTTTGCAAATGACATGATCCTATATCTAGAACACTCCATCGTCTCAGCCCAAAAGCTCCTTAAGCTGATAAGCAACTTCAGCAAATTATCATGATACAAAATCAATGTGCAAAAATAACTAACATTCCTATTGACACCAACAACAGTCAAGCCAAGAGCCAAATCAGGAATGTAGTTCCATCCAATATTGCCAAAAAAAGAATAAAAGACCTAGGAATACAACTGATCAGAGAGATAAAAGTTCTCTACAAGGAGAATTACAAAACACTGTTCAAATAAATCAGAGATGACATCAACAAATGGATAAACATTCCATGACCATGGATAGGAAGAATCAATAGCATTAAAATGGCCATACTGTCCAAAGCAATTTATAGATTCAGTGTTATTTCTATTAAACTACTATGGACATTCTTCACATAACTAGAAAAAACTATTTTAAAATTCATATGGAACCAAAAAAGAGCTCAGTAAAGCCAAACCAATCCTAAGCAAAAAGAACAAAGCTGGAGGCATCACACTACTTGACTTCAAACTATGCTGCAGGGCTGCAGTAACCAAAACAGCATGGTACTGGTACAAAAACAGACACATAGAGCAATGGAACAGGATAGAGAACCCAGAAATAAAGCCACACACCTACAACTCTCTGACCTTTGACAAACTTGACGAAAACAAGCAATGGGGAAAAGTTTTCCTATTCAATAAATGGTGCTGGGATAACTGCCTAGCCTTATGCAGAAGGTTGAAAGTGGACCTCTTCTTTACACCATATACAAAAATTAACTCAGGATGGATTAAAAACAAGTGTAAAACCCAAAACTATAAAAAATGTGGAAAACAACCTAGGTAATACCATTCTGGACATAGGAATGGGCAAAGATTTCATGATGTTGATACCAAAAGCAAAAATTGACAAATGGGATGTAATTAAACTAAAAAGTTTCTGCACAGCAAAGGAAACTATCAACAGAGTGAACAGACAACCTACAGAATGGGAGAAAAATTTTGCAAACTCTGCATCCGACAAAGGTCTAATATCCAGCATCTATAAGGAAGTTAAACAAATTTACAAGATAAAAACAATTCATTAAAAAGTGGGCAAAGGACATGAAATGACACTTTTCAAAAGAAGACATACATGCAGCCAACAATTATATGGAAAAATAGCTCAACATCACTGACCATTAGAGAAATGCAAATCAAAACCACGGTGAGATACTATCTCGCACCAGTCAGAATGGCTATTATTAAAAAGTCAAAAAATAACAGATGCTGGCGAGGTTGCAGAGAAAAAGGAACACTTACATGCTGTTAGTGGGAGTGTAAATTAGTTCAACCATTGTGGAAGACAGTGTGGAGATTCCTTGAAGACCTAAAAATAGAAATACCATTTGACCTAGTAATCCCATTACTGGGTGTATACCCAAAGGAATATAAAGCATTCTATTATAAAGACACATGTATGTGTGTTCATTGCAGCACCATTCATGATAGCAAAGACATGGAATCAACCTAAATTCCCATCAATAGTAGACTGGATAAAGAAAATGTATTACATATACACCATGGAATACTATGCAGCCATAAAAAAGAATGAGATCATGTTCTTTGCAGTAACATGGATGGAACTGGAGGCCATTATCCTTAGCAAATGAATGCAGGAAGAGAAAACCAAATGCTGCATCTTCTCACTTATAAGTGGGAGCTGAATGATGAGAACACATGGACATGTAGGGGGAACAACACACACTCGGGCCTATTGGAGGGTGGAGAGTAGGAGGAGGAAGAGAATCAGGAAAAATAACTAGTGGGTAACTAGGCTTAGTACCTGGGTGATGAAATAATCTGTACAACAAACCCCCATGACACAAGTTTACCTGTGTAACAAATTTGCACATCTATCCCTGAACTTAAAATAAAAGTTAAATTAAAACAAGAAAGAAAACAAAAAAACCTGTATTTGGTGCCTTGGCTTTTCATTAAATAGAGCAGTCTTCTACCAATTCATTCCTCAAAATATGGACTATAGGACTGGTCTTAATTTTGAGAAATAAATAATTACTTATTTGGTGAGGTGCATTATTTAGACATACTTGTCTTTATCATTTGCTAAATAAATTCCAGGGGATGATGTGCAGATATGCCATTAGACAGCAACTCTTTACTACTTGGGCTAGATCAAAATAATTTGAGATTAAATTGTAACTCTTTCATTATATTTAGCATTTATTCATTCATCAGCTATTGAATGTTTTGTGTTATATACTACCAAAATAAATGTAGAAACAATACTGTGATACTATATGTAACAAATAACCAAATTATAAAAAGAAAGACACCAAATTTGGAAATAATTATAGATAATAATTAAATTTAATGTTAAATGTCATTTGTTTTATATGAAGGGATCCAAAGAATATTTTTGGCAGTTCCTATTTAACATAATAATTATTAGGAACTTGATTTTCAACAGGATTATTGACCTGGAAATGTAAACATGGGCATTTTATGAAGTACTGAACATAAATTGGAAGCCTGCTTTTTAAGATAACGAATTAAGTAAGAAATAAGTGTTATTTATTTTTCTTTAAACATGCATTAATCTCTAAGAAATAAAAGTAGTTTCTTTTTTTTTTATTTTAGTATCTGACATTAAGACTTCAAGACTATCCATCTTTGTCTCATCTTGTTGTTTATGTACCATCTGTTCGTGGAAGTAAGGTAACAAGTGGGTTAAGATTGTTATTAGAATGTTTTGGAGACACATGCTAAATTTTACAGTTCTTTTTCAATGAGTTTTTCTGCACAGTTTATCTAAAACAGTAGCCAGTTTGATGATCCACCTAAGACTGTTAAATTATTAGGATCATCTACTCTAACTTGAACTAAGCAGAATGAACCCAAGTTTCTTTGTTCCAAGTGAGAACTGGTTCCAGTTTATCAATCAGTCTTTCAAAATCTATGAATTATTAGGCACATAATAATAATTCATAGGTGCAAAACCTATGAATTATTAGGTACCCTTTAAGTATAAGGCTATGTACCAGGAATTATAGGAGGCACACAAATGAAGACATGACCCTGGTTTTGTTTTGTTTTTTTGAGAAAGAGTCTTGCTCTGTCACCCAGGCTGGAGTGCAGTGGCGCAACCTTGGCTCACTACAACCTCCACCTCCTGGGTTCAAGTGATTCTTCTGTCTCAGCCTCCCAAGTAGCTGGGACTACAGGCGCATGCTACCACACCGAGCTAATTGTTGTATTTTTAGTAGAGATGGGATTTTGCCATGCTGGCCAGGATGGTCTTGAACTTTTGACCTCAGGTGATCCGCCCACCTTGGCCTCCCAAAGTGCTGGGATTACAGGTGTGAGCCACCGCGCCTGGCTGACAAGACCCTGTTCTTAAAAAGCTACATACTATTGGGAAGGGGGAGAGAAATGTAACTGGAGCAGAGGGAAGAGTGGAAAAAGAACTACCCAAATACACATAACACAAATCAGAATATAGCAAGTACATAAAAAGAATGGCATTATAATAAGGTGATATTTAAAATGGCTTTCAAGTAGGCATGGTGGCAAGTACCTGTAATCCCAGCTACTTGGGAAGTTGAAGCAGGAGAATCATTTGAACCCAGGAGGTAGAGGTTGTAGTATGCTATGATTATGCCTGTGAATAGCCACTGTACTGCAGCCCGGTCAACATAATGAGACCCCACTTTTAAAATGAAATAAAATAAAACAAAATGGCCTTAATGGGTAGTTAGGATTTTTATAGGAAGAATGAACATTGTAGAGCCATGCTGTCAATACAGGAATCACTAGCACATGTGGTTATTTCAATTTAAGTTAATATAAAATAAAAAATTCTGTTCCCTAATTGTCCTAGTCACATTCCAGATGCTCAATAGTGACATCATTGCCAGGAGTTATAATGGACAGCACTGTTTAGACAAAGCAACAGAGCAAAGCATGAAGTATATTTGAAAAACAGTGAATAAGTAAATAATAATTTTGAAAGGATGGCCACAATGGGTTTGAATAGTAGTGGAGGAAAAGTCTGGAAAATTAGTTCATGGCCATATTGTGAAAGTTTTGATTGGAGGATTCAGGACTTTATGGAATTCAGAAGTCAGTAGGAAGCCATAAGATTTTTAACTATAGTAGTAATGGTATCAGAAATCATTTATTTGGGAAGATTAATCTCCTTATGCTGTAGAATAGATCAGAAACAGACTAGGTACCTCATAAGGGGTTTGTACAGACTGAGCACCCTTAATCCAAAAATCCAAACTCTAAAAACTTTCTGACAGGTGGGGATACTCATTGCTATAATAATGAGGACGCGCCATCTAAAACTTTTTGAGTGCCAACCTGACACCACAATTGGAAAATTCAACCCCTGACCTCATGTGGTGAGATGTAGTCAAAACAGTCAAAATTTTGTTTCATGCACAAAGTTATTAAAAATATAAAAATTACCTTAAGACTAAGTGTGTAAGATATGTATGAAACATAAATGAGTTTTGTGTTTAGACTTGGGTTCCATCCCCAAGATATGTGATTATGTATAGGCAAATATTCCAAAATCTGAAAAAAATCAAACACTTCTAGTTCCATGCATTTTGGATGAGGGATCCTCAGCTTGTACTAGGGAAGTGGGAATAGAAAGAAAAGAATGGTGATTTTGATAGAATTAGTGGGTAAGAAAGAAAATGGAGGTAAAGGGCCCTTCGGACTCCCCTTTTCCTATTTCACCCAGCAAACTTACTCTTCAAGATCCAACCCATGTCCCTTTTTCCCTTTTCCAGAGTCCCCCAGTAATCTTTTACTTATTCTCATGATACTTTATAACTTCTTTGAAAAATTTATTATATTGAATTATAATTTATTTATGTCTCAGTTGCCATGACCACATTGTGAACTCTTTAAGAGTAATGAACAGATAGGTTTTATTCTACTTTGCATCCTCAACCTTCAGTGACTACTGCATAAATGCTCAAGAAAATGTTTATTGACTGAGAAGGTTCATAAGATTTGTAGCCAAAATAATCAGAAAAATGTAGGAGAAATAGAGAAAGGAAAAGGGGGATGTAGTTGGGAGTCATCTCAATGACTAAATCTCACAAGTACCTTATAATGGATTCATTGTTCTGTTTTGCTTAGCTCAAGTAAGAGGTAATTCAGCATCTGCAATACTAAAACCTCTCTTAAAGGGTTTTTCTGGCAGGTAAGCTGGTTTTGAATGAATCTAACATTTTTCTCAAACTTGAAAAGGCCCTCTCTGGTTATTCCAAGAAATTGATGAGTCTTTCTGCAAATAGACAGTCTTAGCAGCCTAATAAATATGTAATGCATCTTAATGCTCTTTGGAAAGTAACACTGCTGACTCTACTGTTGTACAACCCCATCTCACTAGAATTATAACTTAAGTCTTTCATAATTTTTGCATGTCTATGTATAGCTCATCATCAGAACATGACATATATTCAAATAGTGTAAAACATTTTTGAGTCAACTTCTGTCAGTATATTTTTAGAAATGCAAATATGGAATTTATCTGCATTTTTTTGTAACAGAAAACAAAATAATTAAACCCATTAGAAATTTACTTATCGTGGGTGTTTCAGAGACAGGCCTTTGAATTTTCTCTTTCTTGGGTAGGGTTTTTGTCATTATGCAAAACTAAAGGCATAGCCAAATTTTTAAAGCAATAATAAAAATTATATTATTTTAAACTTGTTCAAAGTAATGAAATTGCTTTTAAAAACTGCTTCCCTGTCTGATATAGGCTTATCCAAAAGTACTTTGTAAAAAATGTAATGAGTAATCCTGTTCAATAAATGATTGCTATAATCTTTTAGCAGCTGTTTTCTATAATGAAAATATCTGACTGTGTTCTTTGCCTTGTAAGGAGGGAGAAATAAAGCAAAACCCCTTAAAAGTTTTTTCTTTTATTCCCCCAAGTGTATGGATTAATCTAATAGCAATTTCCCTGTCTGTTTTTCACTTTTGAAAACAATCAAAAATCTACCCAAGAGGCAAACAAAGTAACACTGCTTCAGACAAATCCAAAGTATAGTTATTAGAAAAGCCTAGGATAGACCCCACTAGCTTTCCACTTTTGTAGACAGCAAACTACTTGCTAGCTACAGTTATGCATCAGATTAATTTTTCTTTAGCTTCCGTAGATCAAAATAATATGATTGCATTGTAGAGATTATTTTAATGAAATTATTCCTTTACCAGAAACAGTTCTTGCAGATAAGTGAGAGCAGAGTTTCTTATGCAGCTAATAGAAATGTTATTTAAAAAGAAATGTCACTACAAAAAATTATAATGATGCAAGTGTCACATTATAGTTTTACTTTTTTGAAAAGCATTTCTTTTTCTGGCTTCATACATAGTAAACCTTTTTTCCACTTACTGTGATAACTGTTTAACCTGAAATAGTGTTCCACAAATAACATTAGCCATGTGTCAATGAATGGCAGTATTTCTCCAGCAGGCTTTTATAGTCTAATTAGACTATCTTTAATAAATACAGGATTTTTCAAAAAGATATAAAACAAAATCACATTTTCCTTTTGACTATGAAAGTATTAAGAGACATAGTATCTAAATCTTTAACTAATCTTGAATTAGCCTAGGCTGATAATACTTTCATCCATCCTTTACTGTCCTTCTTATGCAAACACCTAAAGCTAACTATAAAAAAACTGCTATGAATCTGTTGTTCTAGAAATGGCCCTCGAATAATTTATCTATTAAGTTAGGCTTGTATATCAAGTTTTCTCAGCATAGTATCTCTCCTTGAGAAATTCTTGCCACTTAAGTATAGGCAGAATTATAGTGTAATAGATGATACTTTCTCCAAAGCTGAGGTTTATAGACTTTTATTTTCCACTCAAACATCAAGTAAAGATACTTTACTGTAAATTTAACTTACTTTTTCTAATAAATCAATGTTTTATATTTCAGTTTGTTGTAGATTGTGAATTCTTTAAAAAAGAGAAAAGATACATACAGCTTCCTGTAACTCATCTTTTTTCCTTTGGTAAGTACTTTGTTTTTGGAAAGCATAAGAATTGCTTTTATTTTTAACAGAGTTGCAGTAAAGCAGAGCTTTGTAATATCAAATGTTGAATATTTCAAGTATAGTTCTTAGAATAACTATATGATGTGGTTCAGTGGTTTTATTCTCATTGGGCTAGCAGTCATATTCTGAGAAGTGAACTTCCATAATCACATACATTTGCAGGTAATTGCGTGTGTGTATCTATGTGTCTGTGTGTCTGTTCTTATGTGAAATTTATCCTATTGGCCCTTATTAATACAATTTTAATATAGAGTTATAAATTATTTGTATAAGAAGGTTTCAAGATTTCTCTAAATATTCTTTTAAACTTTATTTTGAAATAATTTTAGATTTACAGAAAAGTTACAAAAGAGTTCCTGTATATCCTTCACCCACATTTCCCTAAGGTTGACCTTCTACATAAACACAATACAATTTTTTTAAACTAAGAAATTAGCATTGGTGCAATACTGTTAATTAAACTACAGGCTTTATTTGTTTTTCACCAGTTTTTCCACAGATGTCCTGCTTATCCAGGTTTCCACATTGCATTTAGTTGTCATGACTCCTAAGTCTCCTATAATCTGTGACAGTTCCTCAGTCTTTCCTTGTCTTTCACAACTTTGAAACCTTTGAAGAATACTGTTCAATTATTTTGTGCAATGTTCCTTATTTGGAGTTGTCTGTTTCATTTTTGTGGGGCGAGTGGGGAACAGGGTCTCACTCTGTCACCCAGGCTGGAGTACAGTGGCATGATCCCAGCTCACTGCAACCTCTGCCTCCTGGGCTTAAGCGATCCTTCCACCTCAGCCTCCTGAGTAGCTAGGACTACAGGCATGTGACACCATGCTCAGCTAATTTTTTTGTATTTTTTGTAGAGACAGAGATTCACCATATTGCCCAGGCTGGTCTCAGACTCCTGGACTCAAGAAATCAGCATGCCTTGGCCTCCCAAAATGCCGGAATTACAGGCATGAGCCAACGTGCCCAGCCTAATACTTTCTTATGATTAGATTGAGGTTATGTATTTTTGCCAAAATACCACAGAAGCAATGAGGATTTCCTACTATATCATATTGAGTATACGTGATACTGATATCTCTAATTACTAGTTATGTTAATTTTCCTTTCTTGGTTAAGGTGGTGCCTGCTAGATTTCTCTGCTATAATGTTATTGCTTTTTCCTTTTGTAATTAATAAATATCTGGGGTGACATACTTTGAGAATATATAAATGTCCTGTTTTTCTTTAGAATAACCCACTATTTTTAGCATCCATTGGTTCATCTAGTACTTAGCAAATATCACTCTGGTATTCTACATTTAGTGGAATTCTTCCTGAGATAAAGTAGACCCTTCTCCCCCATTATTTATTTATTCAATTTTTATTTATGTCACTATGGACTCAGAGGTATCTATTTTATTCATTGGGCTATAATCCAATTCTATCATTATATATATTTTTGCTTAAGTTATTCTAGCTTTGAATATTGGGAACTTTTTTATGTTGGCTCCTGTGCCCTTTAAATATTTTTTTTACATTTTATTTATGAAAAGAATCTGTGTTACTTGGCAAAACTTTAGGATTTTTATTTTTCCCCCTACCCTTTGTTTTGGTACAAAACTACCCAGAACAATACAGAAATGACAATTCTGAATCACCCATATCATTGAAGATAAGAAGCTTGTAAAATAAAAGATCTACCAAGAAAGTACACCTTTCTGAAATTGGAATTATATACCTGACTTTTTTAAAAGCAGATAGATGTGATTGGAAGTAATAAAATTTATTTTGTCTAGAGTTTATTGCTGGGAGATTAGATTTTTAGGAGTTAACTCCATACAGAAGTGAAAACCTGTAAATAAATTTTTAATTATTGGCATTGTCTTAATGCTAATTAAATAATCAGTATGTTTTTAAAAACTTCCTTGATATTCTAAGTAATACAGTACTTTGAATTCAACAGGATTGTCTTCAAGGAAAGTGGTGTTAAATACAAATGGCCTATACTACAATCTAGAGCTTCTGAACTTTGGACAGGTAATTAATCCTGACTACAAGAAAAAGGATTTGATTTTACTTTAATGTTTACTTTAACATACAAGTAAACCTTTATATTTTGTTTTTGTGGTCAAACTCTATTAGATATACCAAGCTTTTAAAATCAACGTGGTAAGCAAGTGCTCAGCAGTCAAAGGTAAATATGTTTTCTAAAAAATGTATAGAAAATAATATTGTCATTTGAAGACTCAATAGGTGTTAACTCAAATTTTCTATAATACTTATTCTTCCATATATTTTTATGTGAAGTAAAATTAAATTTATAACAGGTTGTTTATATTTCCAGGGGATTTAACATAGACCCTTTCTTAACAGTAAAGCATTTTTATCTGTTTCAGTTTAAATATCCACATTTTAAAAATGCCATATATCTTTATGTCTTATAGTAGTAATTCAGATTTAGTTATTTAGTATTTTTCCACTTTCTTAATACTGGCTATCTGCTGTAATATCTATTATAAATCTAATTAAAGCATTATTATTTAGGAATTCGCCATAATTTTTTATCATGTAATATAACCTGTACTGATTTTTTTAATGAAATGGACAATTGTATAATTAGTTAGATATTATAGTAGTTTATGTAACATTTAGGGTAACATGTTGTTAATAATACATTTTTTAAATGTTTTAACAGAAGAAATAACCAGTATCTATAGACTTCATATTCCTTGGTCTTATGAAGATTCACTAACCATTGCACAGTAAGTATTTGAAAGAATTTACTTTAAACTTTGGTGTTTTTGAATAATAGATATTCTGCTTAGTTTATTTATTTAAATCATGAATTATTAAAATGCATCAGTAAAATGTATGTATCCTTTATGTAGCATTGTTCCTATAATTTAATATATAGTATTCTTATGAAATGATAGAGAACTTAAACTTTACTTCCTTGGAACCTGAACCCCCTTCCACCCTCTCGCAACTCCTGTGTCCTAGAGGGAGCATTCAAACAATTGTGATATCATTGAAAAAGTGCCCATCCACAATTATGTGTCTGGCACCTAGCTTCCTCTACATTATTCAGTTGTATTGTGCTGAGGATTAACTTAGCCATGGCTCTTTACCAGCATTTTGTATTTGAGAATTGATATTTAAGTTATCTCTTCAGGGCTCCATCTTCCACAGAAATTTCTCTGAAACTCCATATTGCTCAACCAGAAAACAATACCCATGTGGCATTATTTAAAATGTACACGTCATCAGACTGTCGGTACGAGGTAAGTTGTATGTTTGATTAATTTTTAAGATTTAGTTGTAGAATAAGCTAGAAATGTTCTTTTTATATAAGCTTCAGATATATGGTGGCATGGAAGCCAATGCATATAAAAAATAGGCATTTAAAATATTTTAAATATTCTTCATTTTTCCTATTAACACCACCTTAGCATCTCCATAGCTGGGCCATTTGCAAATGTATACATCTTAATAAGTAATAGAAGATAAAGCAAAAAAATGAGACTGTAGATTAACCTTCTAAATTTGGAAGCCCCAAGTCCAGAATCTTTTTTATAAATTGAAGAACATCATGAGGTCAGCTGACATGGGCTTACTGCAGTAACTGACATGATACTTAATGGTGTATAGCTCTACTGGTTGTTAGCTTAAGGATCTTCTTTCCTTTTCACTAATTATTTTAAGCTCTGCTAGTCATTAAAATGTGTGATTTCATACCTATTGTGTTTATTTTGTAATCAAAGTACATCTCTTTGTGTTAAGGGGGATAGACTTGAGAGTAACATTTTAGTTACTTATGGATTCATGAATGAAGAGCCCCTAGATTCCAGATTTAAGTGGTTAAAGTACTCATTTCAGTGGTTATGACAACATAGGCTTCTGGTTTATGTGAAATATTTTATTTCTGCTCAACTGCTTTAAACCAAGCTTAAATGTTTGGATTCTTTGTTAGAACTAACTTTTCAAGGATAAACTAGGATTGATTTTGTCAAATTAATAGAATCTGTTCCTCCAGCCAAGTTTCAGTTGAACTTATATTATGAATTAATTTAGATTTCATGGAATTTATTATTGCTTTGATATCTTGCATCCTGTTTCTAACAGTTCAGGGTTTTGCAGGGCCATAGTAGTTTTTAATTTGCATGTTCATATTTATAATATTAAAGCAATACAAAAAATTGTGATAAAAATTTGACTCCAACTACTGCATGCTCTCAAAATGTCCATTTTTTTTACAAATACTGCATATCTTCAAGAAGTCCATATTTTGACAAAATCATTTTAAACTTCCCTAAAAATATTTATCTCCTTTCTAATATCAAATAGACTTCCTAATTATCAAAAAGTTGTATTTATGGTAGAGATAATTAAGGATGAATTTCTTTTTAAAATATTATTTTGGCTTAAATTTCTTTAGCTGGCATGATATGGTAATAAGATATTCTACTTAATTAAATATTTTAGGTAGTAAAGGAGCAAAATAGCATTCACTCAGCTGTCAAATAATTAGATATGTGGGAAAGTATACTAAACAGTAACACTCTACTTTAATGCAATTTGCATGGTGGTTCAAAAGATTCTTTAAGATCTTGAGTGCCTTTAAGGTTTACCATTATAGAAAATCAATTATTATGCTTAGAGATATGCATAAGTGCTCAATTTAATAAAATGTAAAGGAGTTTAGAGGAAAATAACCTTTTTTTTCAATAATTGTTTTAAACTAGGTGACAGTTAAGACTTCCTTTTCACAAATACTTGGACAGGTAAGAGAGATTCCTGGCTGGTTGATTATTTACTGCTTTATGAATAGATAACTCTAAGGAAGGGTTGTAGACTTTTTCCATAAGGGGCTGGATAATCAATAATTTTTTGCAGACCACATACAGTATCTTTTGCTACTGCCACTGCTGTAGTTGCTTCTGTCTTCTTCCTTTTTTCTTTTTCATTCTTCTTACACTTGAATAAAATCCAAAAATTATTCTTGGCCCACAGACCATATTTGCCCACCCCTGCTTTAAGGTGATTCTTTCATGTTTGATACATCCAAAAAATGAGAGCTGATACCTGATTCTCAAACAAATTAATATTTTTGCCTAAATGAATTTCATGGTTTGCCATGGTGGCCCCCATCTGTAATCCCAGCACTTTGGGAGGCCAAGGCAGGCAGATCACTTAAGGTCAGGAGTTCGAGACCAGCCTGGCCAACTGGTGAAACCCCACCTCTACTGAAAATACAAAAATTAGCCAGGCGTGCTGGCATACACCTGTAGTCCTGGCTACTCAAGAGGCTGAGGCATGAGAATCACTTGAACCTGGGAGACAGAGGTTGCAGTGAGCTGAGATTGTGCCACTGCACTCTAACCTTGGCAACAAAGGGAGACTCCATCTCAAAAAAAAAAAAAAAGAAAGAAAGAAAAAGAAAAAAGATTTCATGTTGCTCATACTATAAATTCATAGTACAATAAAATATGTAGGCTCTGCCATATAAATGAATGTTTTCAAATAACTTTTTATATTGTGCATGCTCAGTTTGTAAAAGGTAAACATAAATTCTATTAAAGATAAATGTGTTGAATTCATTAGCAAATAATATTACAAAAATGCTGCATAAAGCAGTAGAACTATAGCTATTACTTAGCATCACTATAATTTGCACAATTGTGCAACCTGGACATAAATAAGATAACAATTGATTAGTTAGGGAAGTTATATAGTTTTAATATTCAGTCAAATTTGTATTATAGCTTTATTCCTTTCACTTTTTTTTGGTCTGTTGTATTTTGCAATGCAGGCATAGTAGAATTTTGTTTTAACTCTAAGTCATTTAATACTGTAATAAAACTCACAAGGCAAAATTAAATTAGAAACATTTTGTATATGCATTATCTCATTTAATCCTCAGAGCAACTTGGTGAGAACTAGATTATGATCATTATTAATTTGTGAACATTATAAAATTCTAAGTTAATATATAGAAATTTTGTGCTAAATTAGGAAGAGAAGATTAAAATCTTAGTATAAGTTGGAAAATAGCATCATGGATAATTACAGTACATATTATAAAATGTTGGGCCGGGTGCGGTGGCTCACGCCTGTAATCCCAGCACTTTGGGAGGCTGAGGTGGATGGATCACGAGGTCAGGAGACCAAGACCATCCTGGCTAACACGGTGAAACCCCGTCTCTATTAAAAATACAAAAAATTAGCCGGACGTGGTGGCGGGCACCTGTAGTCCCAGCTACTGGGGAGGCTGAGGCAGGAGAATGGCGTGAACCCAGAGGTGGAGCTTGCAGTGAGCAGAGATCGCGCCACTGCACTCCAGCCTGGGCAACAGAGCAAGACTCCATCTCAAAAAAAAATGTTAAGGGACCAGTTAAATCTCTCAAATTCATACTATTGTATATTTAGTATGGTGAAAGGGCATATTACTGTAAACAGTGGTTTGGGGTAGGAATATAACATATTCTCTTATCCATATAATTCCTGTGTCTCATAATTCAGTTTAGTAACAAGAAAAGTCAAGTCAGCTTGATACACTAGAATCAAGCATAATTGTAAACCAAAAGAGGACAGACCTAGTATTCTTGTTTTGATGTGGAAATCTTTCTAAAGACTGAGGATGTACAGGTGTTACAGTATCAAAGGTGGATTCTTTTTAAAATGTCAATTAAAGAATTTATATTATTGAAGCTTAAGCTTAGTTCTATAAAAAAATTAAAAAAATAATTTGTATTAATTGAATTAAATTCTCAAATTATTGAAAAGACGTAAGATGTTCTTCCTTCATGCTTGTTTAAAAATGTAGCTTGTAGGTAGTAAGAGAATGAATGAAAGTTGTATATCTTACTTGTTTTAAAAAATAATACATATTTTGAATGTTGCTGATTGAGTCACAGAAGATTGGAGAAAATAAAGAGAAACTTCAGCCTTCAATAGATAACTTTTCATAAAGTTAAATTTTTTTCTGAAAAAGGAAAGAGGAAAATATATTCACATATTCTGTAGTCTGCTCTTACGAAAAAGAGGGCAAAGCATGAACTGAAAGTTACTTTCTCAAGAGAATTCCATAAACGCTAGTAAATCATTTCTGTGCAGTAATGAAGTCCAGTGTTGCCAGATCTTCAGCTTTTAAGAGAACCTAGAAATCTGAATTTTTAGATGAAATATTTTAATTTTTCAATGTTGACATGTAAGTCAAAATTTAAAGAAATACTGCACTAAATACTAAGTATGGCTACAGTTTGACTATGAGACAGGGAGGCCAGTTTATGATTGTTAAGTTTAGTAGTATCTTATATACCCAGCTGTATCTGTAGCCCAGTATAACATTTAATACTCATAACGATGATCCTCTATCATTAAAAGAAATTTTATATTCAGAATGCTCTGTGTGGGACCTCTTACAATATTCTAAACACAGTGAAGGGCATTAAAGGTAACAATAACAGCTAATATTTTCCAGTCAGTTACCATGTACCAGTTACTATTCCAAATGCCTTATGCAAGTGTGAACATATTTAAGCCTTACATCCCTGTGAGGTAAGTGCTGTTTATCTCATTTTACAGATGAGGATATATATAGAGAGAAGGGAAAGTAATGGAGGAGTAAAATAACTTGCCCAAGGACACAGAGCTAGTGAGAGGCAAAGCTGGAATCTAAATCCAGGAGTCTGACTCCTGAGCCTGCTATGTTGCTTAACTCTCGATAAGTAGAGTATATTTCCCAGCTTGTCATGTATGATTTGGTATTAGGTAGCAAAATGGTCTTTTCCCTTTTACTCAGCTTTCCCAACCTTCCATGCAGAGCTGTAAACTATAAGTCACAAGTATGGGCTGTACGTTTTCTGATTTTTTCTCTTCTCTTTTTACCTGGGAATTCATGGAGGGACTTTAGGGAGACCCTGAATTTTCTGAAATTTTCTGCAACTTTTATAGTAAGCTTGTACTTCCATAGTTTCCCTCAGGTTGCCAGAGAAGTCTATACATGTTCTAAAAAAATTCTGTGGAATGGAGAACATGCTTTAAAGTAAATTTACTTTTAATAATGTGACATTAAAAGAACTTAAGGCTTTTTTAAAAATTATACTTTAAGTTCTGGGGTACATGTGCAGAACGTGCAGGTTTGTTCCATAGGTATACACATGCTGTGTTGGTTTGCTGCACCCATCAACCCGTCATCTACATTAGGTATTTCTCCTAAAGCTATCCCTCCCTTAGCCGCCCACCCCTGGACAGGCCCTGGTGTGTGATGTTCTTCTCCCTGTGTCCATATGTTCTCATTGTTCAACTCCCACTTATTAGTGAGAACATGCAGTGTTTGGTTTTCTGTTCTTGTGTTAGTTTGCTGAGAATGATGATTTCCAGCTTCATCCATGTCCCTGCAAAGGACATGAACTCATCCTTTTTTATGGCTGCATAGTATTCCATGGTGTATATGTGCCACATTTTCTTTATCCAGTCTATCATTGATGGGTTGATTCCAAGTCTTTGCTATTGTGAACAGTGCCGCAGTAAACATATGTGTGCATGTGTCTTTATAGTAGAATGATTTATAATCCTTTGGGTATATACTCAGTAATGGGATTGCTAGGTGAAATGGTATTTCTAGTTCTAGATCCTTGAGGAATTGCCACACTGTCTTCCACAATGGTTGAACTAATTTACACTCCCACCAACAGTGTAAAAGAATTCCTGTTTCTCCACATCCTGTCCAGCATATTGTTTCCTGACTTTTTAATGATCGCCATTCTAACTGGTGTGAGATGGTATCTCATTGTTGTTTTGATTTGCATTTCTCTAATGACCAGACGATGTTGAAAAAAACATACGATGATTTTTTTCATATGTTTGTTGGCCACATAAATGTCTTCTTTTGAGAAGTGTCTGTTCATATCCTTTGCCCACTTTTTGATGAGGTTGTTTTTTTTTCTTGTGAATTTGTTTAAGTTCTTTATAGATTTTGGATGTTAGCCCTTTGTCATATGAATAGATTGCAAAAATTTTCCCCCATTCTGTAGGTTGCCTGTTCACTCTGATGATAGTTTCTTTTGCTGTGCAGAAGCTCTTTAGTTTAATTAGATCCCATTTGCCAATTTTGGCTTTTGTTGCCACTGCTTTTGGTGTTTTAGTCATGAAGTCTTTGCCCATGCCTATGTCCTGAATGGTATTGCCTAGGTTTTCTTCTAGGGTTTTTATAGTTTTAGGTCTTACTTTCGGTCTTTAATCCATCTTGAGTTAATTTTTATATAAGTTTTAAGGAAGGGGTCCAGTTTCAGTTTTCTGCATATGGCTAGCCAGTTTTCCCAACACCATTTATTAAATAGGGAATCCTTTCTCCATTGCTTGTCTTTGTCAGGTTTGTCAAAGATCAGATGGTTGTAGATGTGTGGTGTTATTTCTGAGGCCTCTGTTCTGTTCCTTTGGTCTGTATATCTGTTTTGGTACCAGTACCATATTGTTTTGGTTACTGTAGCTTTGTAGTATAGTTTGAAGTCAGGTAGAGTGATGCCTCCAGCATTGTTACTTTTGCTTAGGATTGTCTTGGCTATGCTGGCTCTTTTTTGGTTCCATATGAAACAAAGTAGTTTTTTTCTAATTCTGTGAAGAAAGACAATGGTAGCTTGATGCGGATAACATTGAATCTATAAATTACTCTGGGCAGTATGGCCATTTTTATGATATTGATTCTTCCTATCCATGAGCATGAAATGTTTTTCCATTTATTTGTGTCCTCTCTTATTTCCCTAAGCAGTGGTTTGTAGTTTCCTTGAAGAGGTCCTTCATATCCCTTGTAAGTTGTATTCCTAGGTATTTTATTCTCTTTGTAGCAATTGTGAATGGGAGTTACTCGTGATTTGGCTCTCTGTTTGTCTGTTACTGGTGTATAGGAATGCTTGTTTTTGTTATTATATGTATTTTATAGAGAGCTGATAGAATGACTTGCACTATAACGTAATGATTATGAACTTAGGCACTGATTTTAAAACTTATAGTTCCATAAGATTTTCAAACACAGTGAAGGACATAAAAAGTTAATAAAGCAATTAACATTTTCTCATAACTTGTTATATATGAGTTAATATTCTGAATGCCTTACACAAATATGCATGTCTAATCCTAATAACTACCTATAAGGTACATACTAGTATTGTCCCCATTTACTGATAAAGACATAGAGAGGGGAAGCTAAGTAACTTGCCTATTATGTTTTAAATTATACAAGTTAGTTGGGCTCTGATGCCTGAATTTCTTTGTCTATAGAATAGGGATAAGAACTACCTCAAAGGATATTGGGAGAAGTACATGAGATAATGCATATAAGGTGTTTACTGTTGTGCCTGGAACGTATTAAATAATCAGTGTGTTCTGAAAAACAGTTTTTCAGGACATATATGCTACTCAATTATATGTTCTGTTATGCCTTTGATGAAAAATTCAGATACATTTTGAGTTTGCTATGTATTTTCAACATTTATTTTACTTAGAGTTTTTGATACTTATTACTGGAAATATCTTTGTAGCCATGTCAGGTATAAATTGAAGAGCAACTTTTAAATTTTATGTGAAAGTACACTTATTAACATGAATATTCAGGAGTTGCCCATTGACTTACCTGTTTTTTAGGTAGTTAGATTTCATGGTGGAGCTCTTCCTGCTTATGTCGTATCTAATATCCTTCTTGCTTATAGAGGACAGTTATATTCTCTTTTCTCAACAGGTAAGAATGCTTCTAATTTTTAAGTTACTTTTGTTATGAATATTAAAGTAGAATGACTATTAGTTCCACATATGTGTTTATATATATAATTCTGTTATATTGAATCAGGAGACATAATTAAGAGAGTTCTTAGAACTCCCTTTTTATTATTTATTTTTTTATAATTATGCCACGTAATAGTAGCTACTATTCTGTTCTTGAAAATTCCAAAATAGCATGTGATTTTATGATGAGCCTTCTCTGCATCTTTATTACGTTTCCACTATCAACCACCAATCCCAAATAGTTTGAGGAAGCTAGTCCAGAGACCTTAAATTTGTGGTCTTAAGACCTGCAAATTATTAACATTCTCTTAGCTTGTCACTTTTGTATCAGTGTCATTTTTAATGGAAAGAATAACTTTGAGTCTAACCAGATTAAGTCATTTTTTAAAATACATATAGGAATCAAGCAGTGTAATTATCTTCATATAATAATTTGCTAGTATTTATGACGTAAAAAGGGGCAAAACATTTAACCCCATAATACACATCAAAAAATTAACAATAGTGCCCTAATATTATCAAATGCCTTTTTTTTTTTTTTTTTTTTTTTTTGAGACGTAGTTTTGCTCTTGTTGCCCAGGCTGGAGTGCAATGGTGCAATCTCGGTTCACTGTAACCTCCACCTCCCTGGTTCATGTGATTCTACTGCCTCAACCTCCCAAGTAGCTGGGATTACAGGCACCCGCAACCATGTCCGGCTAATTTTTGTATTTTTAGTAGAGATGGGGTTTCACCATGTTGGCCAGGCTGGTCTTGAACTCCTGACTTCATGATCTGCCCGCCTCAGCCTCCCAAAGTGCTGGGACTACAGGCGTGAGCCACCGGACCCGGCCTCAAATTACTTTTTAAGAAGTATTTTATTTTTAATTTATTTGGTTGATACATAATTGTACCTATTTATGGGGTACATGTGATATTTTGACACATTCATATAATGTGTTAAGATCAAATCAGGATAATTAGGATATCCATCAACTCAAGCACTTACCATTTCTTTGTGTTGGGAACATTCCAAATCTTCTAGCTATTTTAAAATATACAATAAATTATTAACTATAGTCATCCTGGCAGGGCACTGGCTCATGCCTGTAATCCCAGCACTTTGGGAGGCCGAGGCGGGCGGATCACCTGAGGTCAGGAATTCAAGACCACCCTGGCCAATATGGTGAAACCCCGTCTTTGCTAAAAACACAAAAAATTATCCAGGCTTGGTGGTGGGCGCCTGTAATCCTAGCTGTCCAGGAGACTGAGGCAGGAGAATCGCTTGAATCCGGGAGGCAGAGGTTGCAGTGCTATCAAATGCTAGACCTTATTTCTTCTAACTGTATTTTTATACCCATTAACCATTCTTTCTTCATCCCTCCACTCCTCTTTACCTTTCCCACCCTCTGGTAACCATCTATTCTCTAGCTCCATGAGATCAACTTTTCAAATTCCCAGATATGAATGAGGGCGTATAATATTTGTCTTTCTATGCCTGACTTATCACTTTAGCATAATGTACTTCAGTTATATCCATGTTGCTGCAGATGATAGAATTTCATTCTTTTTATGTCTACATAATATTCCATTATGTATATATTACCATTTTCTTTATCCATTCACTTGTTGATGGACTTTAGGTTGATTCCATATTTTGGCCATTGTGAATAGTGAGTGCTACAGTAAACATGGGGATGCAGACATCTTTTTGATAGACTGATTTCCTTTCTTTTGGATAATATATACAGCAGTAAGATTGCTGGGTCATATGGCAGATCTATTTGTAGTTTTTTGAAGGACCTCCAGTCTGTTTTTCATAATGGCTGTACTAATTTACATTTGTACCAATTGTGTGCTAGCATTCCCCTTTTTCCGTATCCTCATTATCACTTGTTATTTTTTGTCTTTTTGTTAACAAGCCATTTTAACTAGGGTGAGGTAATATCTCATTGTGGTTTTGACGTACATTTCACTGGTGATTAGTGATGTTGAACATTTAAAAAAATACATCTGTTGGCCATTGGTATGTCTTTTTTCTTTTTGAGATGGAGTTTTGCTCTTGTTGCCCAGGCTGGAGTGCAATGGCTTGATCTCAGCTCACCACAACCTCCACCTCCCGGGTTCAAGAGATTCTCCTGCCTCAGCCTCCCAAGTAGCTGGGATTACAGGCATGGGCCACCATGCCCAGCTAATTTTGTATTTTTAGTAGAGACAGGTATCAGGGAACCTGCCCCGATAGTCACGTAGGTTCTTTTCTATTTTCCCTAAGCGTTGGCTGGCTTGAGAAATAAGGGGACAGAGTACAAAAGAGAGAAATTTTAAAGCTGGGTGTCTGGGAGAGACATCACATGTTGGTAGGTTCCGTGATGCCCCACAAGCTGCAAAAACCAGCAAGTTTTTATTAGAGATTTTCAGAAGGGGAGGGAGTGTACGAATAGGGTGTCGGTCACAAAGATCATGTACTTTACAAGGTAATAGAATATCACAAGGCAAATGGAGGCAGGGTGAGATCACAGGACCACAGGACCGGGGCGAAATTAAAATTGCTAATGAAGTTTTGGGCACCATTGTCATTGATAACATCTTATCAGGAGACAGGGTTTTGAGAGCAACTGGTCTGATCAAAATTTATTAGGCGGGAATTTCCTCTTCCTAATAAGCCTGGGAGCACTATGAGAGACTGGGGTCTATTTCACCCCTACAGTCTACAGACCATAAAAGACGGCCACACCCAGGGAGCCCGTCTATAGACCTACCCTCAGGCGCGTATTCTCTTTCCTAAGGATGTTCCTTGCTGAGAAAAAGAATTCAGTGATATTTCTCCCATTTGCTTTTGAAAGAAGAGAAATATGGCTCTGTTCTGCCCTGCTCACTAGCAGTCAGTTTAAGGTTATCTCTCTTGTTCCCTAAACATTGCTGTTATCCTGTTCTTTTTTCAAGGTGCCCAGATTTCATATTGTTCAAACACACATGCTGTACAATTTGTGCAGTTAATACGATTATCACATGGTCCTGAGGCGACATACATCCTCCTCGGCTTACGAGATGACAGGATTAAGAGATTAAGGTAAAGACAGGCCTAGGAAATCACAAGGGTATTGATTAGGGGAGTGATAAGTGTCCATGAAATCTTTACAATTTATGTTTAGAGATTGCAGTAAAGACAGGCATAAGAAATTATAAAAGTATTAATTTGGGGAACTAATAAATGTCCATGAAATCTTCACAATCCACATTCTTCTGCCATGGCTTCAGCCGGTCCCTCCATTTGGGGTCCCTGACTTCCCACAACAGACAGGGTTTCTCCATGTTGTTCAGGCTGGTCTCAAACTCCTGACCTCAGGCGATCTGCCTGCCTTGTCCTCCCAAAGTGCTGGGATTACAGGCGTGAGCCACCACATCTGACCATCCATTGGTATTTCTTCTGTTGAGAAATGTCTGTTCAGATCTTTTGGCCACTTTTAAAATTAGAGTATTTGTTTGTTTTGCTGTTGAGTTGTTTGAGTTCCTTATATATTCTGGTTATTAATCCTTTATCAGATGGATAGTTTGCAAAATTTTTTCCCAGTCTTTGGCTTATCTCTTCACTTTGTTGTTTGTTGCCTTTGCTGTGCAGTAGCCTTTTAGCCTGATATTATCTCATTTTGCTTTTATTGTATGTGCTTTTGAGGTCTTACCCAAAAAATTTTTGCCCAGACCAGTGTCCCAAAGCATTTCTCCAATATATTCTTGTGGTAGTTTCGTCGTTTCGGGTTTTAAATTTAAGTCTTTATTTTGATTTAATTTTTGCATATGATGAAAGATAGGGATCTAGTTTCTTTCTTCTGCATATAAATATCCAGTTTTCCCAGCACCATTTATTGAAAAGACTATCCTTTCTCCAATGTATGTTTTGGTTGCCTTTAGTGAAAATTAGCTGGCTGTAAATGAGTGGATTTCTGGGTTCTCTATTATGTTCTATTGGCTTATGTATCTGTTTTATGCCAGTACTAAACTGTTTTGGTTGCCATATCTTTGTAGTGTATTTTGAAGTCAGGTAATGTGATTGCCTCCAGCTTTGTTCTTTTTGCTCAGGACTTTTTTTGCTATTTGCAGTCATTTGTGGTACCATATGATTTTATGATTGTTTTTCCTATACCAGTGAAGACTCTCATTGGTATTTTGATGGGGATTTCATTGAATCTAGACATTGCTTGAGGTAGTATAGACAGTTTAACAATGCTAAATCATTCAATCCATGAACATAGATGGAATTGCTTTCTATTTTTTCGTGTGTCTTTTTCAGTTTCTCTCATTGGTGTTTTATAATTTTTCACTGTGGAGATATTTTACTTTGGTTACATTTATTCCTAGATATAATTTAATTGTAAATGGGATCACTCTCTTGATTTATTTTTTTTGTTTTTTGTTTGTTTATTTGTTTTTTTGAGATGGAGTCTCGTTCTGTTGCCCAGACAGGAGTGCAATGGCATGATCTCGGCCCATTGCGAACTCTGCCTCCCAGGTTGAAGTGATTCTTCTGTCTCAGCCTCCTGAATAGCTGGGATTACAGCCGTGTGGCACCACGCCCAGCTAATTTTTTTGTATTTCTAGTAGAGATGGGGTTTCACCATGTTGGCCAGGCTGGTCTCAAACTCCTGACCTCAAATGATCCACCTGCTGCAGCCTCCCAAAGTGCTGGGATTACAGGCATGAGCCACTGCGCCCAGCCCTCTTGATTTCTTTTTCAGATTTTTCATTATTAGTGTATAGAAAGTTACTGATTTTTATATGTTGATTTTGTATCTTGAAACTTTTACTGAGTTCAAAAAAAAACAATTCTAACAGTTTTTTTTGGTGGAGTTTTCAGGTATTTTTTAAATCTAGGATCATGTCATCTGTGAACAAGGATAACTTGACCATTTCTTTTCCAATTTGGATGTACTTTTTTTCTTTCTCTTGCCTAGTTGCTCTGGCTAGGACTTCTAGTACTCTATTGAATAAGTAGTGAAAACAGACATTCTCGTCTTATTTAGATCTTGGAGGAAAAGCTTTCAATTTTTTTTTCCCATTTTGTATAATGTTAGCTGTGGGTTTGTCATATTTGGCCTTTATTGTTTTGAGGTATGTTCTTTTTATATTCAATTTGTTAATAGTTTTTATCATAAAGGGATTTTGAATTTTATCAAATGCTTTCTCAGCATCTATTGAAATGATTTTATACTTCTCGATTCCATTTGTGTTATTTATCATATTGATTGATTTGTATATATTGAACTATCCTTGCATTCCTAGGATGAATCCCACTTCATCGTGGTGAATGATATTTTTAATATGTTGTTGAAGTCAGTTTGCTAGTATTTTGTAGAGGATTTTTGCCTTTATGTTCATTAGAGATATTGGCCTGTACTTTTCTTTTTTTGTTGTATTATTTTATGGTTTTGGTGTCAGGGTTATGCTGGCCTCATAGAATGAGTTTGGAGTTACTTCTTTCTCTTCAGTGTTTTTTTTTGGAATATTGACTAGTATTGATATTAGTTCTTTAAATGTTTGATAGATTTCAGCAGCATAGCCATCAGGTCCCATGCTTGTTTTTGATGGGAGACTTTTTATTACTGCTTCAACCTCATTACTTGGTTTTTGTTTGTTTGTTTTTAGACAGAGTCTCACTCTGTTGCCCAAGTTGGAGTGCAGTAGTGCAATCTCGGCTCACTGCAACCTCCTTCTCCCAGGTTCAAGTGATTCTTGTGCTTCAGTCTCCCAAGTAGCTGGGATTACAGGTGTGTGCCACCACACCTGGCTAATTTTTGTATTTTTAGTAGAGGCAGTGTTTCACCATGTTGACCAGGCTGGTCTTGAACTCCTGACCTCAGGTGATCTGCCTGCCTCAGCCTCCCAAAGTGCTGGGATTACAGGTGTGAGTCACCATGCCCAGCCTCATTATTTGTTATTGGTCTGTTCAGGTTTCCTATTTTTTTTTCTTGATTCAACCTTGGTAGGCTGGATGTGTCCAAGAATTTATCCGTCTCTTCTAGATTTTCAAGTTGTTGGGTTAAATTTGTTTATAATATTCTCTAATGATCCTTTCTATTTCTGTGGTATCAGTTGTAATAACTCTTTCTTTGTCTCTGATTTTATTTGCATCTTCTCTCTTTTTTTCTTAGTCTAGCTAAAAGTTTGTAGATTTTGGTTAACTTTTCAAAAAAGCAACTTTTTATTTTGTTGATCTTTTTGTTTTTCCCTGAAGCTGGTTCATAGCTGATGTATTTTTTTCAGTCTCAATTTCTTTTATTTCTGCTCTGATCTTTATTATTTTATTCCTTCTACTAATTTTGGTTTTCATTTGTTCTTGCTTTTCTAGTTCCTTGAGATGCATCATTAGGTTTTTTATTTGAAGTCTTTCTACTTTTTGGATTTAGGCATGTATTGCTATGAACTCTCCTCTTAGAACTTTCTTTGCTATATTCCATAGCTTTTGGTATATTGTGTTTCCATTTTTATTTGTCTCAAGGAATATTTTAATTTTTAAAAATATTCTTCATTAACCCATTCATTGTTTAGGAGTCAATTTTTTTTTTTTGAGACGGAGTCTTGCTCTGTCGCCCAGGCTGGAGTGTGGTGGTACGATCTCAGCTAACTGCAAGCTCTGTCTCCCTGGTTTACGCCATTCTCCTGCCTCAGTCTCCTGAGTAACTGGGACTACAGGTACCCACCACCATGCCCAGCTAATTTTTTTGTATTTTTAGTAGAGACAGGGTTTCACCTTGTTAGCCAGGATGGTCTCGATCTCCTGACCTCGTGATCTGCCCACCTCGGCCTCCCAAAGTGCTGGGATTACAGGCGTGAGCCACCACACCCAGCCAGGAGTCAAATTTTTTAAAAAAAATTTTAAAGAGTTTTCAAAGAAGATCCACACAGTCCAGTTGGTCATTCGTTTCTTTAAGTTTTGTCAACTTAAATAACAAACAGAAAGAGGCTCTCTAAAGGAAAATGATGTTTATTTGTAATAGGGCACTGCAGTGGGAATATGTGTGCTACAGTAAACTTATGCATATTCAGGGAGGTAAAGGAAGACAAAGGATGCTGAAGGAAAAATAAAAAGGATTACAATTGTTTTGAAATGATTATTCTTGGCTACCAGGATGAATAACAAGGGCGATGCCAGTTTGAGGTTGAGCAGGCAGTTGCTGGGCAGATGTTCTCAGAGAAATTTTTTTCTGTATAAGGTTGATATGGCCTTTGTTCCAGGTTGCAGTCTTTTGTGTTAGTTTTATTATCAAGCATACAAGTGTGAGAACTCTCTCTTCTTAGCCTTCCTCAGCTCTATTTGTCAGGGTTTGTTTGTTTGTTTGTTTTTAACACAAATGACCATGTTGATTCTGGCCAGTTTCACATTTTCCCCTTTTGATTAAGATATTTCTCCAAAAGCATCACTGATCAATCACCCCATAGTTAGATTTTGATATCCCTTGGTGCTGGAATAGACCTGTCCCAGGTTGTTGGTCTAATACCACATTGTAATGATTGGTGACTAGGAGTCAGTGTCAAAAACCTTTTAGCCACATTTGAGCACTGAGGGATGTTTGAAGGGAGTGGCTCTGAAGCTAAGTCTACCTGGAGTCCATTATTAAGTTCAGCTTAGTTTGTTCCATAGTCTTTTGCCATCATTTCAAAGTGCTGGGCCAGCATTAAACTGTTAGGAGTTGTATTTCTACAAAAATTTAAACAAGTTAACAGATAGAGGAATGCTAGTGATTTTCGTACATTGATTTTATATCCTGAAATTTTGCTGAAGTCGTTTATCAACTGAAGGAGCTTTTGAGCCGAGACTATGGGGTTTTCTAGGTATAGAGTCATGTCATCTGCAAACAGAGATAGTTTGACTTCCTCTCTTCCTATTTCGATGCCCTTTATTTCTGTCTCTTGCCTGATTGCTCTGGCAAGGACTTCAGAAAGGCAATCCCATTCACAACTGCCACAAAAAGAATAAAATACCTAGGAATATAGCTAACCAGGGAGGCAAAAGATCTCCACAATGAGAATTACAAAACACAGCTCAAATAAATCAGAGAAGACACAAAGAAAAACAAAGTTTAAAAAGGGGAAATACAAAGTAAAATGATCAGTTTGCATAATAGTTTTGAACCATGAACCTAGGCTTAAACACAACCAGTTGAATACATCAAATGACCATTATCCTTCAAGTAAAAAAGGTCACTAAGAAGGGTAAGGGTCTCATGATATGAAGTCTTGTTCTGACATCTTGGGAAAAGCTATCTGAAGAGTGGAAGTGTCAACTTCTCATCCTGGTTTGTAGTTTGAATGACTCTGATTATGACATCAGGTGCCTTGGTGAACTTTTTATGTGGCCCATACATCAAACATGAGGCTTATTTCTTAAAATGCATCTAGTTTCAGCTTACAGGGCTCTCAGAATAAAGCACTTCTCATTTTTAGTAATTCCATGGAAGAAAGTTGGATTGGAAGAATCTAGAAGAATGCAGGATCTAGTCTAGTTTATCAAGTAGTATAGTCTATCAAGAACTTGAAAACAATGAACAGAGCTACATTCTAATAACAGGTGTATTATAGCTTTTATTTAGAAACATAATTTTTTTCTCTCTACATTGATCACATAGCAATCTCAGATTTAAAAACCTTGAGGGCTGGGCATGGTGGCTCATGCCTGTAATCCCAGCACTTTGGGGAGGCTGAGGCAGGTTGATGACCTGAGGTCAGGAGTTTGAGACCAGCTTGGCCAGCATGGCAAAAACCCCATCTCTACTAAAAATACAAAAAAATTAGCCAGGCATGGTGTTGTATGCCTGTAATCCCAGCCACTCAGGATACTGAGGCACGAGAATCACTTGACCCCAGGAGGCAGAAGTTTCAGTGAGCCGAGATCATGCCGCTGCACTCCAGCCTGGGCAACAGAGCGAGACTCTGTCTCAAAACAAAACACACACACACAAAAAACAAAAACAATAAAAACCTCTTGAGGTTTTTAAGGTCTTAAGGTTCCTAGGCCTGCCAGCAGTTGACAGTTTTTATTTACTCACTATCAGGCTGGGAACCCTTAAAGTCAGATATTCTGTGCATCTTCTCAAATATAACATTTTTGATAAAGCCGTGGTAATATAACTAACATTCAATACAATATTTCCAGTTGTGTCCTGTTATAAAGAGAGGACAGATTTTTATTGGACTTATAAAAAAAAATCATACGGCCATAAGAATACTCAGGTAGTTTCCAAATTTTGTAGGAGCCAAGTAGAGAGAAAAAGCATATGATTCCATCTTTGTTCAGAAAAGTATACTTTACCAAATTGCCTGCTTAAGAGATAAATTTTCCTTAAATCTGGAAAATAAAACCTTTAAGTGAAGAACCAACATTTCAAATAGAAGTCATAAAAACACTATCAGTTGGTCAATCTCATGTAATTAATTTTTGTTCTGCTTGATTTCGATTAGCAGTTTCCTGAGCCCATCAGTTTTTTATCAGGGTTTTGGAAATTTTTATTTAGTTAATTAATCTTAAAGTTATCAGAAATCTGTGTTTAAGAGTGCTTATTGGACAGGTGTGGTGGCTTATACCTGTAATATCAATGCTTTGGGAGGCTGAGATATGAGGATCATTTTTTTTTTTTTTTTTTTTTGGTGACAGAGTCTCGCTCTGTCGCCAGGCTAGAGTGCAGTGGCTCGATCTAGGCTCACTGCAACTTCTGCCTCCCAGGTTCAAGTGATTCTCCTGCCTCAGCCTCCCCAGTAGCTGGGACTACAGGTGCCCACCACTACACCCAGCTAATTTTTTTTGTATTTTAGTAGAGACAGGGGTTTCATCATGTTGCCCAGGCTGGTCTCAAACTCCTGAGCTCAGGCAATCCACCTGCCTTGGCCTCACAAAGTGCTAGGATTACAGGCGTGAGCCACCGTGCCCTGCTGATATGAAGATGACTTTTGAGGTCTGGAGTTTGAGACCAGCCTGGGCAAGGAGGCCCCGTTTCTACAAAAAAAAAAAAAAGTTTAAAAAGAATACATTAGCTGGGTATGGTGGCACATGCCTGCAGTCTTAGCTATTCAGCAGGTTGAGGTGGGAGGATCACTTGAGCCCAGGTGTTCAAGGTTGCAATGAACTACAGTTGCAACACTGCTCTCCAGCCTGGGCAACAGAGTGAGACCCTGTCTTCAAAGGAGAAAAAAAAGAAAGAGTTCTTGTTAAGGTTTTTTCATGAAAAACTTGATTGCAATACAGCTGATTGCAAATGCTTTTGGAGAAGAATTTAAAACAATAACTGTGGATGACAGAAACTTATCATAGTCATGGTTAAAATCTGATGAAAGCCCCAAAGTGATAAGGAAATTTTAGTTATTTCTGTTACATGCAGCATTTTAAGATATCACCTAGAATCATGACTGACAGCATCATATCAGGACCATCAGACTTTTATCAATTTTATGTAATTTTTAGAAATGCTGACATCAATAACATATCCATACAAATATAACTTTAAAGAAGATTTAACATAGCCAAAATTATGACTGATAACATATTTGATTTCTATGAATTTATGTAATTTTGTAGTATATCAATAACATGAATATAACTGAAAGAAGATCTAGTATCACTTATCATTTGACAATGTTTTCCATATAATTTACCAAATAAGCCTAATCATTTAATATCTCTACAAGATGAGAGATATATTCTTGGAGGCTTTTCAGGGGCCCAACTAGAAAATCTGAAAATTAATTCTAGGTAAAAAAGACTTAGTTTAGAATTTTCGGCCGGGTGTGTGGTGGCTCATGCCTGTTCTCTGAGCACTTTAGGAGGCATAGGAGGGTGGATCACTTGAGCCTAGGAATTCAAGACTATCCTGGGCAACATGGTGAAACCCTCTCTGTACAAAAAATAAAAAATAATTAGCCATATGTGGTGGCGTACATACACCTGTAGTCCCAGCCACTTGGGAGTCTGAGAAGGGAGGATTACTTAAGCTTGGAAGGTTGAGGCTACAGTGGACCATGATTGTACCATTGCACTCCTCCACCAAAAAAAAAAAAAAAAAAAAAATTCATCTTTGGGAAGCTTGCCAAATATGTCAAAAGGTTCAAAACGCTTGATCAAAAGAGGATCACAGGTCATTGTGAAATAATAGTATTTCGGTTAAAGTAGTAAAAGACTTCAAAAGCAATACAGAAAGTTGTATGGATGTAAAAATCTTAATCTTCTTAAAGCTCAGTTATCCTAAGCTTTAAGATTAATAAAGATTAACACAGGAAATTATCCTATAAAACATCAGTACTGTGTAATTCCCTGTGTTATCTTTATTAGGTTTTTTATTACCAAAAGATAAAGAAAAGTCTGTTGCAGTGTGACTGCATTTTTTTATGGGAAACTCATTTAGATAACCCAGAACTTGAACGAACCTGATGAATGGGTACTTGAATTTAATCAGATACAGGAAAAATGTGTCTAAGGTTATAAGTGTAAGCCCATATTATAGAGGAATATAAACAAGAAAGCTAGTATTGGGAACAGAGGAATAAGTGGCTCTTAGAAAAAGTAAAAACATGTGACATAGTTTCCTGATTACATGGAACAATTGAGATGTATCAAGAAAAGCCAAGAATATAGAATCAAGTTATCCAAGAGGAAAACATTGTTTTTCTAGATGAAGATTTCGGCCTCAGGCCATAACAGTACAGTTAGAACTGAAGAAAAAAGTTACAGGAGGTGACAAAAAGGTTGAAAGAGAGGTTATCCCCTGAGGCCTTCTCAAAGGGAGAGAGGAAGAACAGATCTCAGGAGGAAATGTGGCAGAAACAGAAACTCTGGACAGTGTAGAGGATGGCTGTTAATGAAACAGATTTCAGAGTTAAAAATCAAAACCCTTTCCAATTTTCTAAGAGTAAATGAATATTTCAAGAAAGCCTTGCTGCTTCTACATAGGGGACCAAATTTTTAGTTTTGCATTAGTATATCTTTAATATCGAATCTTAATCTTTAGAAAGACACAAATCTCTTTTATAGCCAATTTGATCACATGCAGAATTTTCTTTCATAAAGTCACTCTTCATCAACTTTTTTCATGACTTACTCAGACCTTTGATAACATGCTTAGCCTTTCTGTCTTGTCCAAGTATTTCCTATTTCTTAAATAACCAGTCATTTTACTTTAGGACAAAAATGGATCACATAAGTTGTTCTTATAAAAACTATTCTGTTTTGTTTTTAACCTTCCTTACCAAAAACACATTCTCAACCCATAACTTTATTCACATCTCTCTCTTACTTACTGGTTCCTTTCTATCTTGTTTCTATTTTTTTCTAAATCTATATTTTGAAACACCTTTAAGTACATCCAAATTAGACAAAATTATTTTTTGTCAATAAAGAACACATTTGTATGCCTTTCTTATAATTTTTCTCATCAATAATACATTATTTTTGATATATTTTATATACATTAATTAGAATTGTTATTATAAATTAATTTCTATTTTTAACTAGAAATTTAACTCTTAGTAACCTTAAATTTAACAAGTAATTTGAACTGTCACTTATTAGTATTTAATAGATGAGAACCAGCTTATTTATTAAAGATTTACTTAAGTCACTGAGCTAAAAGACACTTGGGTTAATTAGTATATAATTTGTATGAGTACTCATTTATTGAAGCCAATCTGAATAGAATTTCTTAGGGGATTTTTGGCCAACTATGCCAATACATGTACATATGTATAAATGTACCTGAACATATATAGACATACTCAAAAGCCTTATAGATTTCATTTTGGAATTTTAATTATAAAGTAGTAATACAAACTCACTGGTTTGTGAAAGATAATTAGATTTTAATTATAAAGTAGTAATACAAACTCACTGGTTTATGAAAGATAATTAGATCCAAATTACATTTCTGACAAAATTGGGCCCCTATATGTAATTAAGGCTGTGGAACAAAATTTGGGGTAAAGTAGCCTGTAGAATGCAGATCACGTAAAATATTAAATTTGACACACAGAAAACCAAAAGTAAATTCCCTAGAAAAGACATGTCTAACGAACAGAATGTAAATTCCGTAGAAACTCGGGTCCTCAAACCACAAAGACATTTGTCTTTAAACCAGGAAAGACTTGCCAGAAAAGACAAAAGGTCTTCTGTCATCCCAGGAGAGATGTAAGGTCCTTTATTTACCAGATCCAGAATAAAGTCAAGAGGTTCTACCTTGATTTTAGAGGGAGAGAGAGTCTTGGCCTGACAAAAGGTGTGCCGTGGAAGCAGAGAGCTCCAGGGGCTCATATGAGTACTGCACACCAGTTCTAAGCATCACAAACTGTGTCCAAAAGTAATCCTATTCAAGGTCCTACCTCTGGACACTCTTCATGTCAACCTAAATAACAAACAGAGAGGGGCTCTCTAAAAGAAAATAATGTTTATTTGGGAATAGGGTATTGGAACAGGAGTCCACAGGTCATAGTAAATTGTTTGCATATTCAGGAAGGTAAAGGAAGACAATGGGTGTTAAAGAAAAAATGAGGAGGATTACATAATTGTTTTGAAATAATTATCCTTGCCTATAAGGATCCATAACAAGGGTGGTGGCAGCCCGAGGTTGGACAAGTAGTTGCTGGGCAGATGTCCTCAGAGAAGTATTTTTGTGTGTGTGTAAGGTTGCAGTGGCCTTTGTGCAGAGTTGTGGTTTTTGCAGAGTCTTCTGTGACAGTTTTGCTATTATGTATACAAGCATGAGAACCCTCCCTTCACAGCCTTCCCTGGCTCTATTTGTCAGGGTTTTTTTATTTTTTTGTTTTTTTTAAAAAAAACAAAAAAACAGTGACTCCATTTTGATTCTGACAACTTTCATTGTCAGAACTGAATTGTTTCTTTATCTGTAAGGTCTGTTCTCCATCTCTTTTTCTCCCCTTATAATTTATCAAATAAAACTTTTTTATACTTTTGCATTTTCTATGTTTGGAGTTTACTGATTCCATCCCCTTGCTGGAGTTGAACATGTTTTTCTATTTTCTATAAATTGATAATTAGAGCTATAGGTGTGATCAGATTCAGGTTATTTCCCACCAATCCCCATCCCTGTTCTTTTTTTGCTGCTGCTGCTGCAAGAATCGTTCATAATATGTATACTTCTAATAAGAGACACTCACTCCCTAATTTCCTTCCTTGTCATCCTAGTTTGTTTCCTTTTCTTTCTTCCCTTCCTTCCCCTCCCATCTCTTTTTTTCATCTTCCTCTTTCCCTCCCTTCCTCCCTTCCTTCCATTTTTCCTTCCTTCCTTCTGACCGTCCATCTGTTGTTCCTTCCTCCTTCCCTCCTTCCTTCCAAGAGCCAATGCTTCCTTGCTGCCTTGTCATCCTACATGTGGCTAAACAAGACAGATGATTTCTTAAATTTATCGTCCCTCTCTCCCAAATTTGCAAGAGTTTGGGATCCTCTTAAGTTTTAAGACATCCCCAAGAAAATTCCTCACTTGTTTTCTCCATTTTATACCCTGGCACTTGAAGTTTTCTTCCTATAGTCTGAAGACTTCTTAAAATGTAGAGCCTGATCTTGTTCTCCATTCTATTCCTAGTGCCTAAGATAGTGCCAAGCACACAGTAGGCATTTACTGTAATATTTGAGCTGCATCAACTGTGTCAGTTAGATCCTGGCATACTGAATGGAATAATTGAGATTATAATGGACTATTTCAAAGGTATATGTGCAGGGTTAAGAGAAACCAACAAGAAATGATAAGATGCTAAACTAGTAACAGAGCCAGCTGGTACTCCAAGGTACCAGGACAAGAGAAGGAACAAACCTAGAGGGCTCTAGGAGTGGATAACATTCCTGGAGCTGTAGCCTTGGGTGCAGGAACACTACAACCACTGCCACCCTGTGGCTCAGCAGGAAAAAGATGAGGAAATACATACACTAACCTTATTTTCTCCTACCCTCCTATCTGCTGATACCTCTTAATTCCTGAACTTACCTAGAAGCCAGTCTATAAAAGTCAGCCTCCCAGAATTCAGGAAAAAGTGAGGGGTGGAGAATGGATCTGGAGAAGCAGATGTAGAAACTGTAGTACAATGGACAAAACCTTCCCTGGAGTATAGCAGTTATTAGTTTCCCAGGAGGCTAAAACTTTGTTTCGTTGGGCTTGGACAGTGATTAAGGGATGCAGGAGCAGGGAAAAAAGAATTTGGCCTGAATATATTAAAGCAGCAGTCCATAAATCCCCTCCACTCAAATCTTTCTACAGCTACTTAGTGCCCTTCAGTTACTTTTATACAATTTCAAGTCTGCCTTTAGTGTTAATTTTAACCTGATTTAACCTATATTCCAGGAAGTGGTAAGCAATATTCAGTTGATCTGTGCCAGACCCAGCCTTTTAATTAAGAGATTATTCTGGCTGGGTGTGGTGGCTCACACCTGTAATCCCAACACTTTGGGAGACTGAGGCGGGTGGATCACGAGGTCGGGAGATCCAGACCATCCTAGCTAACACGGTGAAACCCCGTCTCTACTAAAAAAAAAAAAAAATACAAAAAAATTAGCCAGGCGTGGTGGCACGTGCCTGTAGTCCCAGCTACTCGGAAGGCTGAGGCAGGAGAATGGCATGAACCCGGGAGGCAGAGGTTGCCGTGAGCCAAGATCGTGCCACTGCACTCCAGCCTGGTGACAGAATGAGACTCTTTATAAAAAAAAAAAAAAAAAAAAAATTATTCTGACACTATGACATCAACCAGAACCAGACTTAAGTATAAATGTCTATCTTGTTTTGAAAGTCTGAAAAAGGTCTCGTTTTTCTTGGTTTCAACTGACTTGATAATTGATTCTCAGACATATAGAATGTACATCTAGGGGATATTTGATGCTGGTTAATCTAGAGGCTTTAAGTACTGGATTATGTATCCAGCCAATTAAATATGTAGTTCTGAACCAAGGATGCTTATCAAAAATCACCTGTGGATTATACCCACTAGAACGACTATAATTTTAAAAAGACAAATAATAAGTTTTAATGAGGATGTGGAAAACCTGGAACCCTCATACACTGCTGGTAGGAGTGTAAAATAGTGTCGCTACTGTGAAAAACAGTCTGACAATTCCTCAAATGGCTAAATACAGAGTTATTGCATAACTCAGCATCTGCATTCCTAGGAATATAACCAAGAAAAATGAAAGCATATATTCATACAAAAACTTATATGCAAATGTTCATAGGAGTATTATTCATAACAGCCAAAAAGCAGAAACAACCCAAATGTCTGTCAATTGATGAATGGAAAAATAAAATGTAGTATAATCATACAATGGAATAAAAGGAATTTGATTAAAAAGAAATTAAATGAAATACTGGTATATGTTACAACATGGATGAATCTTGAAAAAAGTGGAAGGAGACCATCACAAAAGACCACATATTATGATTCCATGTATGTGAAGTGTTCAGAATAGGCCTATCTTTAGAGAAGGAAAGTAGATTACTGGTTGCCAAAGGATGGGAATTTGGGGGGTAATAGTTAAAAGAAAACTTTCTTTTGTGGGTAATGAAAGTGTTCTAAGACTGTGGTGATAGATGTACAATTCTGAATATACTAAAAACCACTAAATTGTATATGTTTAAATAGAAGAATTATATCAGAATTTTGTCCCATAAAGCTAATTTTTTAAATCACTTGTGGAGCTTTGTGAAAATACAGCTGGTGAAACCCCAGCTTTGACTTCCTGAATTTGTTTTTACAAGTGATTGAATGTGTACTCTAATATAAGAACCATTGAATTACAGCTATTTTTAATCTTTCAAGAAGAGTCTCTGTGATAGTAATGAAGACCCTTACTTTCTCTGACATAAAATATGTTGCTGTTTTAGAGAACGTGGGATATAGTATATCTCATACTTAATTACTGTAAATTGCATGTAACTTTTTTTAAATCACCAGGTTGTTGCTTAGAATATGCTACCATGTTGGATAAAGAAGCCAAACCATACAAAGTTGATCCTTTTGTAATTATCATTAAGTTTCTGTTGGGGTAAGTTTTATTATCTGTGATAATGATTTTAATTGTGTTTTACATGTAACATTATATTTGGTTCCATAATGCAATATAAATTTTCATACAGATTTGGCAGTTGACTTGTTTCATTAAATGAGGTTTTTTTTTTCTCTTAGGCAAAGGTCTAATAAGTATATCAATGTCTACTTCAATAGTATCATTTCAAAAGTAATTATTCACTTTATGTATATCAGTCTAAACTTAGACTGCCTTTAATGTTTGTAAATAGGTGTATATGGTCCATGATCTGTGAGTATCCTAGATTCAAACGCAAATCATTACAGGGTATTGATGAAACAGTGCCTCTCTGATCACTTTTAAAAGTATATTTTAGACCTCTCTACCCTAGTTAACATTCCATTCTTAATTTAGTCACATTTTCAGATTTTTGGTTAAGCATCAATATGTAGATCTTTTTTTCCATCATTACAACTAACTTGGCTTTCTAAAAAAAAAAAAAAAAAGAACATATTACTTTCTACTAGTATCAATATAGATTAGTAAAGCTATACTGAAATGCAGATCTTCAAAGATCAGTAGGCTCACTTGGAAAATAAATGACTTGTTCCATACAAAGAATTAAAAATTTGTTTTTCAGTATAATTATAAATTAAGTATCATGGAACTTTAGAGACTCTCTTGAATAGTCAGACACCTCAAATATTAAGTCCTTAAATTTCAGTTGTTGGGTTTTTTGCTTTTATATTTTCTTTTCTCCACAGGTATAAATGGTTTAAAGAATTGTGGGATGTATTATTGTTACCAGAATTAGATGCCGTCATTTTAACTTGTCAGAGTATGTGTTTCCCCCTGATATCCTTGATTCTCTTTCTGTTTGGAACGTGTACTGCCTACTGGAGTGGCCTACTGTCTTCTGCATCTGTGAGACTTCTTTCTTCATTGTGGCTAGCTTTGAAAAGGTAAAGAATGAATGATTAACAGCTTTCTTATTGCTTTAAGAAGAAATATATATTCTGATAAGGAACCTGAAATTAATTATTTTTACTAAACTATTTTCTAAGGAAAAATATATAACTAGCGAAAGTATGGGTTAGTGTTCAAAGTTATGTCTGTGAAAGCTAATCATTTATTAAGAGTTAAATGTTACATTTGATTTTGACCTTAGCGCTCAAGAGTTAATAAGAAAAGTTTGACAAATTACGCAGATAGTTTTACATTTCGTGGTTGTGAATCTTTCCCAGGAGGGATTGTTTCTCCCATAATATTGCTTTTATATGCTGACTTCTATATTGAAACCAGGGGGCAAGAGACTGTAAACCAGATATTAGGATCAGATTAGATGAGATATATAAAAGCTCCAAAAACATTGCCTAGAGTTTTATTATGGGCCCAATGACACAGTTTGAATCTGAAGTTACTGGTAGGCTTTCCTGGTAAATCATCAATCTAGTGCCCATTGCCACTCCTCCTTACCAGACATGTCATGTGATTTCCTGTCACAGAGGGGATTATGGTGGGTGTGATGCTTCTTCCTCCACCCTTCTGAGATGCTTCAGATAGGGGTTCTGATAGTAACACCATCAAGGGTCTGAGTGGTCTCTAGGCTTTAAGAAATAGAACATAGTTTCTCCTCCTGTCAAGACTGGAGATGTATGGCACAGAGTGTATAATTAATGATTATCTTTGGTAACATTTTTTCACCTGTAGTACAAGTATCAGCTATAGTATTATCAAAATGGTAGAGGAGTTATCACAATACATTACAGAACTTAAAATCAAATATTTGGGACCACTTGCCTTTATTTAAAAAATACCTTGTTGTTTACCTTATGTATTTGCATATAAGCAAGAGAGACTGGGAGGGTACTATATTGTTTTCTTCTTATATGTGACTATATAAATATTTGTTAATATATATTTTAAACTTTATTCTTATAATTCCAGACCCTCTGAACTTCCTAAAGATATCAAGATGATATCACCAGACTTGCCCTTTTTGACAATTGTCTTGATCATAGTTAGTTGGACAACTTGTGGAGCACTAGCCATACTTCTTTCTTATCTTTACTATGTGTTTAAGGTATGTCAAATCAGTAAAGCCAAAATGATTGAGCTTTGTATTAGGCACATACATGTAGGATGTTCCGTAGGCATTGTTAACAAAAATTCTCATAAACACTGTAGTAACCCTCTGTTACATAACGGGTTTGAATGTAATTAGTTATTTAAATTACATACAATTAACTGGAAAAGGGAAATTATTGATCTAAGTTGGGGTTTTTTTGTTGTTAAAAAGGAAAGGGAAAGGAGAAGATATAATCTGTTTCTGCTTGCTTCTTAGTCTTTACAAGTGTTAAATTTTTTTTTTTTTTTAACATTTCACTAGGGCAGTTTATATTCACACCTCTTTTTGAACATGGGTAAGAGACGAAACAAAAAGTGATGTCAGTAGGATCAAGCTATTAATCATACTAAGATAATATAAAATGTTACAAATGTTGCTGAAGGATCAGAAGATGACAATAAAAATAATTAGGCTAATATTTTTACTGAAGAAGTGAAAAACGTGTCTGATAAAGCTGACAGCTTTGCAAAGAAAAAAAAAAAAATCCAGGAGGTAATACAAGTGTATTCTCTCCATGTTATTCTTAGGAACAGACAGTTGACATCAGAGTGGATAATTCTTTTTTTCCTTAAAAATGAAATTTTTAAAAGTGTAAATACATGCATATCATATATTATTTTCAGTTTTCCAAAGGAAATTTATATGCTTCTTAAAAAATTATTTACAGCTACTTTGATTTATAAATAATAATTTTAGTATTTTTTAAATTAGGTAATTCAAACCACTGACCCACTAAGCAAAGTTTTCTTAAATACTTAAGTAACCCTAATAAATTAAATTTAAAGATTTTTTTCAGTTCTTATAAACATTTCACCACTGTATATAATTGGGTTCTGGTTTTCAAAGACTTAAAATATGTGAAATGTGTTATATCCTTTTACTATATTGAATGTAATGAAATCTTTGACTTACAAGACACTTTAAGTTGCTATAACAAAGCATCATTCAAACATAGGCTTTTACAGGTTATAAAAGGTATAGCGGTATATCCTGGCCCCACCATACTCCAGAAGTTTGTATTGTTTTGTTTCTGTTTCCGTTTTTTTGTTCATTTGTTTGTTGCTTTTGTTTGTTTTTTAATCCATGATAGCCAGCATGTGTAGTTGTTGTTTTGTATAAGAATGTTTTTAAATGTTTAAATGACTTTTTGGTTTACATTTTAAACATTTCAGATTACAGTGCTTCTCATTTTTAATACCAAAAGGCTTATATGTTTTGTTTCAAAATAAAAGTAAAATTAAAGAGCAATTTATTTTTCTTAGGTTGTTCATCTGCAAGCCAGCTTAACAACTTTTAAGAATAGCCAGCCTGTGGTAAGTTTTATTTTCAAAACTCTACATAAATTTAAAATGAAAGAACATGGGGAAATATAAGAGTTTTTTTTTTTAAGGTTAGTATTTCATAGTGCTTAAAAGATACAGTATTATGAATTTAAGTAAAGTGAACCTAATGAATATTTTAAAAGACTTATAAGTTCATCTTTTGTCAGTACCCATGTCATTTTTTTACAAGTTTATTGTCTATTAAATTTTATTTTGAATAATTACTTAGATATATTCTTAGCAGTAGAACTAGCAAGTCAAAAGAATAAAGGTTTTATAACAATTTTAAAGTATTTTTAAGCAAAGTAATTTCAGGATTTTATGTCAGTTTGGTAATGGAAAGATGTACTTATTTAGTTGATAAGTAATGAGTATGATTCTAAATAAAGTAATATACTTTTGTTTAGTGTCTTGATATTTCTACTTTATTGTTTTATAGAATCCCAAACACTCTAGAAGAAGTGAAAAGAAATCCAATCATCATAAAGACTCCTCAATACACCATCTTCGTTTATCTGCCAACGATGCTGAAGATAGCCTTCGCATGCACAGTACTGTGATTAACTTACTAACATGGATTGTATTACTCAGCATGCCTTCTCTAATTTATTGGCTAAAGAATCTTAGGTGCGTTTTATTGATATAATTATTGTTTATGTGGTTCAAACAATAAATATCCCTAAGTAGAGACTTGCTAGATTCCTAATGGTTAATGAAAATTCCTCAGGAACAGGAAGCTATACATTACCTGAAATTTATTTATTTATTTATTTATTTTTAATTTTTTGAGATGGAGTCCCGCTTTGTTGCCCAGGTGGAGTGCAGTGGCGCGATCTCAGCTCACTGCAACTTCCGCCTTCTGGGTTCAAGCAATTTATTTTTAATACATTCACATTTTCTCCCTTACTATGTGTATATAAACTTCGGGAATATAAACTTTTCAAAAAATCAGCCCAAAAGGGTGAACTGTATTTTTATTAATTGGTCAATTGCTAAATAAAAGGCCACTTCATCCAAGTAGTAGTTGAACCCCTATTCAATGTAGTTTTCAAAAATGATATAAAACTTTCAAGTTATCTAAATACTGGGAATTTTTTTAAGTTGGCAGAACCAAAATAAGTTCAAATTAAATCAAAGGTTGCTAGATTTTAATATCCTTCTTTTATATCTGTTCCTTATTTTAGTCAATATCCAGATGTTTGTTCACAGATTTGCTGTCAGAATTATTTGAGGAGCACAAATTTTTGGTTCTGAAAGGCTATAGACATTTTACTGTCAGTAAATGCAAGAAATGAATTGGATTTTTAAAAAGATAAGGGACAATTAACTTCATGAACCTTCATTTTATCTTTTTTGTTATAGAGTAGTACTCATGTATTTTAAGTAATTTGTTTTTTTTTAAACTTTATGCCGTTTTAAACATACACTGCTTATAAAAAGAAAGTGCTTTCATACCGGTTATTTTCATTTCCTTTAGTAGTTTCTGATCATAATTCTCTTTCTAAAACCTTGAATACAAAGATGATGTAGAACAAAAATTATTTATCAGATATTTCATGAACTATTTAGAGCTCTCTTATATCCATATTGCTACTGGAATGTCTTTAACAATATTTATCCTCTTGATTCTGATAATTTAAAATGATCAGGTCATTGTTGATTTGTGGGTTTCTTTTTTTAATATTATAGGTATTATTTTAAACTTAATCCTGATCCATGTAAACCTTTGGCATTTATCCTTATTCCGACTATGGCAATTCTTGGAAATACTTACACTGTTTCAATAAAATCAAGGTACAGTAGTTTAATCTTTCTTTTTCTTATATCTGTTCTTGGCCTTTTTCCCCCTTTATATCTAAAATATACTCTTTATTTCTAATTAATTTAAATATTCCTAAAAGTAAAGCCATAATAGTATTATGGTTTATATGCAAGTATACTTGTTTTCTTAATTATAGGTTTTATTTGATAGAATATAATGCAGTTTTTTTTTCTTTATGAAGTTAACCCTATAAAGACATGATCTAAGATTTGCTTCCCAAAAAGCAAACAAGAGAAGTGGATGGAGATATTGGTGAGATAAAATTGGCCATGATTTGATAATTTTTGAGGCTGAGTAATGCTTACATGAGGGTTCATTATACTGTTAGTCTACTTTTGTAGTTTCAAATTTTCCATAATAAAACCTGATTTTTCATTCACTTGTTGTTTGCTCTGGGAGTCTTTTCAGTTGATTCTGCCAGATATTTGCAGATATTTTAGAATCAGGCCGACCTGGAGTTTAAATCCTGGTTCTGCCAAATATTTAATAGCTCTGTCTTTAGTTACATTTCTTAACCCCTCTTATTCTCAGTTTCTCTATTTTCAGAGTAAAAAGGTAATTGTCTTTTCTGATAGTATTTTTCTCTTTATACTCCTTGTTTTGGGAATGTAAGATGGTTCTTTGGTTTTTTGTTTTTTTTTTTTATAAGTAGGGTTAAAATAAACATTTCTGTAGCTATGTCTTATTGAACATTATTGATTATTTTGTTAGGATAAATTTCTAGAAGTGGAACTACTGAATAAAAGTCCAACTAGTATTTTTCTGTTTTTAAAATTAGAAAGACTAAATAAAACTGGCTATTTTTTAAATAGAAATATTTTTCTTTTCTAGCCAAGTATGGCTTGTATTGACCTTTTTAAAAATTATGAATAGGTAGGCCAGGCGTGGTGGCTCACGCCTGTAATCCCAGCATTTTGGGAGGCCAAGGCGGGTGGATCACGAGGTCAGGAGATCGAGACCATCCTGGCTAACACAGTGAAACCCCGTCTCTACTAAAAATACAAAAAATTAGCCAGGTGTGGTGGCGGGCGCCTGTAGTCCCAGCTACTCGGGAGGCTGAGGCAGGAGAATGGCATGAACCCGGGAGGCGGAGCTTGCAGTGAGCCGAGATTGCGCCACTGCACTCCAGCCTGGGCAACAGAGTGAGACTCCATCTCAAAAATAAAAAAAGAAATTATGAATAGGTAAATTCATATCATTAAAAATTCATTTAAATTCACTTAGAATATTTATCTTTCCAAAACTGTATAAAAGATTGATATAATTTTGGCTCACAATGTAGTTCACATAAGTAATGTATATTTCTCTGTCTCTTTACAGTAAATTGTTGAAGACTACTTCACAATTTCCACTTCCTCTGGCTGTTGGTGTGATTGCTTTTGGGTCAGCACATTTATATAGGCTTCCATGCTTTGTCTTCATTCCTCTTTTACTCCATGCATTATGCAACTTTATGTAAGATTGGACTTAAGGAATGATGAAGATAATTTATGTGTTTAGGGCCAGTGATAAGAGGGAACACACAGATCCATCAGTATGGACAGCAAGATCCTTTGGAGAAGACAAGTCTATTTTTACAATATTGAAAATAGGAAATTAGTTTTGTAATGTTTGAGGGAAGTAGTTGAAGCATGGTTTTGTTTTGTGGTGTGGAATCCATGTAGTAATCATTTTTGAAAAATTCATGAAGGGATATATGGTGATCACTATCATTGAGGACTCCTGTGCATATAAAATAGTCTGTTTTATCAACTGTACGAGAAGTCTGATATGAGAGATTTAGTAGATGCAGCATTATTTGCAGTCTCACTGCAAGCATTCTGCTCATTTCATCAAACTTTTTTTCACAAAAGTAGGTTATTTTGAATTTGCTATAGTTTACCTATTAAGAAATAAGTCTTTAAATAACTGATGAAATTTATAGCTGTTTGGTTTCTCAAAGGTTAAATAGCCACAGAAAGCCTTTGGTTAGTTTTTGGCAGCCACCATGAACAAAGTGGATCTTGTCTTCTTACATCTATGAAAATAGAGCTTTGAATGGTAAGGAGATATGTTTTCTTGGTAACCAATGCAAGATTGATGGGTGGAAACATGATTCAAACTTACACAATTTTTCTTGCTATTTTTCAAATATGAATCTTACTATATATTCTCGGTGAACATCAGGAGACTATTAAAGAGGTCTGCTGTTAAATGTAAAGAAAAAATGCTCGTAGCTATTTGCTTCCTGGTATTGGAGCAGTTCAGTTGTTTAGTTTATACCATTGGATTCAATTCATTGCACCATGGTTGCCAAAAGTGCCTGAGGTCATAATGGATTGTTAAAATAACTAAATTCCAGTGGTTGGAAACTCTAGGTTTGTACCATTTTTTCTGCTGTGGGAAAAAACAACAACAACAACATGATCAAGGTAACATCACATTTGATGTATAATATTATACTATTAATGGAATATCAGTAGACAACTGTTAACCCATTAGTAGCATGAGTATAAACAGTACACCTGAATAAATTGGAGACATTAGCCACTAGGTTTAACAGTGGAATCTTGATTTGCCTAGGTGACTTCTGGGATTACTGTTTGACAAATAAGAGTAACATTTTATTTCATTTCAGAATTTACGTCACTTTTAGCTACAAGAGTAGGAAGAAGGTAATCGGCAAGGCAGAAGAGTATACTCTTTGCCTTAGGATAGCGTAAACTCAGGCTGAGACATACCCGGCTTATAGAGTTCTTCTAGATGTGTAGACTGTAAATGCCCAAATCCTCTCAACTAAAGTTTTAGTGATTCCACAAAGCCTCTCATGTAAATTTCCAGTGATTCCACCATTGCACTTGTGAATATGTATCCTTGTTAGTACCCAGGGATGTCCTCGAGCACCAGTTTTATTTTATCTGCCATTGCATCTGGATTCCATTACAGCCTCTCAGCTGTTACTGCCTGTGGACAGTTACTTCTGCTTACTGCCTGTAGAGAGTTACCTAACTTCTCTTCTCAGTTCTTCCTCAGGTCCTGGCTATTTTGGCCTCAGTTGAAGGGAGTCTTGCTCTCATCTCTGAGGGTTTTAAGTTTGTTTGATCCCATTGTTGTCTTTTCTAGCTTTGAGCATGTTTTTCAGTATTCATATTTTAACTTACTGAGAACATTAAAGGGAAATGATAAACTCGTGGTGGGGATATGGCAGACAGGTGCTTGTTTGTTTGAGAGAAGTAGCAGAAGAGATAAAATACAAAGTGCTATATGTTTCAGCTGGAGAGGAAAGAGAGAGAATTTATTAGATTATATACTTGTCCCATGGCATACCACGTATATGTTTAAATAGGGACACATCTCCCTATGTTTAACTATACTTATAAACAACTTTGATACACATTGCGTCTTTTATTCTGTCACCTGATATTTTAGTGTATCTCAAGTTACAGATTACATGTGTCCTTAAACTATTTCTGAATTTGGACTTAGTTCCATATACAGAAAGAACTTTAGAAAATTCATTAATTTGGATCTTCTATTGATAGCCATAAATATTATGTTTATGTATTCTAAAACCTCTTTGTTTAGTTAGTACTGTTCATGAATGTAACAAGCTTCAATTTCTCATTTGTGAGTAGTACATTTGCTTTTTGTTTGTTTGTTTGTTTGTTTTTGAGATGGAGTCTCACGCTGTCACCAGGCTGGAGTGCAGTGGCGCGATTTCAGCTCACTGCAACCTCCACCTCCCAGGTGCAAGTGATGCCCCTGCCTCAGCCTCCCGAGTAGCTGGGACTACAGACACCCGCCACCACACCTGGCTAATTTTTGTATTTTTAGTAGAGACGGGGTTTCACCATGTTGGCTAGGCTGGTCTCAAACTCTTGACCTCGTGATTTGCCCGCCTCTGCCTCCCCAAAGTGCTGGGATTACAGGCGTGAGCCACCACGCCCAGCCGTACATTTACTTTTTAAAGCAGCAGACTAGGTACACTAATTCTCACTCAAATATTTTCATGGGAATGTAGTTATCACCAAGTCCTAAAGTATTATTTATGCCAAAAAAAATTTCATTTTAAGGACTACAAAAATGATTCTAATTAAACATTTTATAATCAATAGTAGGTTGGGTCTTTAGCCATTATATGTGTATATATACAGACACATATGTATACACTTACATTTTGACAGGGTCTTCATTGAGTCTTGATGCACTTTAAACCCAGCTGGCTACCAGAGATGCGAAGGTGGGCTCTTTGAAGATTAGCAAAATGGACGTTTCTGTCACTTGAGAAAAGGAAAGTTCTTTGCCTTTAAATTACACAGTTTTCATCATGCCCACAATCTATATTATTGGCTGGTTAAACAGCACTGCCCTATTAGCAATGTTAACAAAAATGAAATTATTTATTGGCGGTTATAGATTATCTAATTCAGGAAATTTCTGAGCTCAACTTTTACAGCAACTGTTATGCCTTCTAATTTAGCAATTGAGTTATGAGTAAGTTTTGTGCTTAACTCCTAGACCCTATTGTTGATAACCAGATCAAATATAGTCTGTACAGAGGAAAACACTGGGAACATTTAGTATTTCTAAAGCCTCCTTTGGAGTTACTACTGATTGTAATTTGGAACTGATAATAGGTAGAGATTGCTAACACTGTTTTTTTTCCTGGATCTTTTTTATGCCAGAAATTAAACAGGTTCTGCTAACTCTTTTTTTTCTCTTGGTTATCACCAGAATGAAAATATTTAAAGTGATGACTCTAGAAAAGCCATCTGTGCCTGGTTAACATTGAGTTTGAGTCTCTTCAATATATATTGATCATGTATTGATTAATCTTTATTTTTTCATATTTTGGCTAGACAAATTCAGATCTATATAATGGAATACCCCTTCTTGAGTGAACTATACTACTAATCTACATGATTATATAGTAAGGAAAAAAGAAGAAATAACTGTAATAGGCATAGTGTTTGTTGTTGGTTGTCTTGTCATTCATGTGATACTACTCATTTCCAAAATTCACACAAACTTACATGAGGTGGATTATTTGTTTTGTTCATTATTTAGTTCCTATATGTTTTTTCTTTAGAAACAGAGTCTCATTCTGTCACCCAGGCTGGAGTCCAATGGGGCGGTCATAGTTCACTGCAGCCTTGAACTCTTTGGCTCATGTGATCCTCCCATCTCAGCCTCCCACAGCAGGTGAGACTACAGGTACATGCCACTGTGCCTGACTTTTTAATTTTTTTGTAGAGACGAGGTTTCAGTTTGTTGCCCAAGCTGATCTTGAACTCCTGGTTTCAAGCGATCCTCCCACCTCGGCCTCCCAAAGTAGTGGGATTTCAGGCATGACCACCTGGCCTAGTTCCTATACTTTTCTTAATTCTTCAGACTTCTCACATTTAGTATAGTGCATTCATTTCATCTTGCTGTTTATTAGCACCCTTTGTGGCCAAGGGAAATAAAAGGTGGTAAAATTCAGTTTTCAGTTTAGTTCTTGAAAGCTCTGGGAAATGGAGGAAACACAAAACTATGAATTAAACTAGGGCTGTTGATTTCTGAACCCCCAGATAAATCAGTTGACCCACATTTTCATTTTAGGTGTTAGGTCCAAATTAGCATAATGTCTTGCATTATTATTAGGTTCAGTGTGAAACTTTACAGTGCTGCATTTGAAGTTTAGTAACTGGTTATTATTAATCATTTGGGAAAAATGAAAATGTGTTGGGACTTTCTATGACTAGGCATTTGTTGATTATTTTTCATGATTGCTTTTTGTTTTCTCATTGTGTAGGATTTGTGAACTTGTATATTACAGGAAACAAGATACTTTGTAAAATTTACTGGGGAAAATCCATTTGGAGTGCATGACATTTGCCAGGATAAGAAAGCAGTAATATGTTTGTATTATAAAATTACACCCTGCCAGAAAACTTTCTTTCCTAGTAAGGTAAATGTAGAAGGGACTTTTACAGCATAGTAAGTTGATTAGGAGCCAAAATTTTATTCCAGTTTTTTTTTGAACTAAGAATGTTTTAAATTCTGTAATGAACTTTTATGTTTACCCATTACTCATGCATTCTTTCACAATATGTTTAATAGCCTGAGGAAATAGGAAAGCTGTGAAGCTACTACCATTCTTTACTTTTAATAAGAATAATAGGAAAGAAAAGTCAGGTCAGTAATCCAAATCCAAATATGTATACTGCAAATGCTCAAGAAGTCACATTTTTTGATAAATTGTATTGAGTACAGAAGAACTTATATGAATTTATTATCTGTTAATAACTTAGTTTTGACAACAGAATAACATTTGGAAATTGTGAGAATAATCAAGCTGTTTTTCCATTAACAGTGTAAATTCATAACATGTCCTTCAAAAGGTGATATTCTAAGCTGTCTTAATTGTCTACGGTTGATAACTTTTAAATAAAGTACAGGACTTTCTGAAAGTGTTTGGCATGTTATGCTGCCAAAAACAATCTGTGTTTTGAAATACCAATTAATCAGTTAATTTCTGAAGACTTTGTATAGGACTTGATATATGAGTCAGAATCTGTCTGTACTCATTCTGTACATTGTAACTTTGAACACTTATGAAAAACTGTATCTGTTGGTGTGTTTTGATTAGTTAGTGTAGATTTGTTTGCGTATTTGAATTCCGATTTTAGTTTAGGAAGACTAAAAGTAGCCATTTTTGTAAAGTTCATATGCTATTTTTTAATGTCATTTTTGTTTTTAATATTTATACAATAGTGATGTTACTAGTAAAAAATGTTTATAGATAACACGTAGAGCTATTAACTGTTCAAAAGCCTACATGATAGGCATATTTTGTATTTCGTGTTGCACTCGTTCTGTTTCATATTGGACTTTTTACATCCCTTTTTTAGCAAAAAAAAGAGACACATTTGAATTCTCTTTAGCATAAAGCTGTGCATTGGAAACTATGTGACTGTATCCATACGGTTAGCAAAATACTCTTTGCCACCAAAGGTAAATGAAACTGTAAAATACCTCTGGATATTTGTGCCAATGAACTTTTCTTAGCATATTAGGATTAAAGCAAAAATAATCTTTTCAGTATGTTTCATCTAGGACTTACAATAAATGTTTAAACCATGAAAACTTATATTTCATACCCTAATTTTTCTTTGAAAATATTCAAGATTTGTAGCCTAGTGTGTTCTATTTTGTGTGATTGCTTGAATGTTTTCTGATTTTATTGGGTAAAAGTTTGCCTAGTAATGATCTTTCAGCAATTCATTGAAATAATTATTTGAAGTAATCTTGCTTCAGATTTAATTTGTGATGTACATTGTTGTACAAGCCATTTTAGTACAGGTGTCTCATTTATGTAGTTGAAAGGTGACTGTGGAATTTCTTTTGTTTTTTATGTATTTCCATTCAGTCTCTTTATATAGTCACATGTTTCACAGGGGAACTTGTCCACTGGAACCTAACATAGTACAACCTTTTAATATGCGTATCTTAAAGGAAAATATTATAAAACAAGATATTAATACTAAAGTGTTAACATTAATATGTTGTTCTCATGGAAGAAAAGTAGAAAATGTGATAGGCTTAGAAATTATTTTTTATCAGCATTAAGTGCTTCAATTTCTCCCCATAAAGATTCTAAGGAAATTTCAGTTCCTCATATTATAGTTTTCCCCATAATTTAATATTACTAAGTATTTCTCTGCCCAGTAATGTTGATGCAGTTTGCATAAATAGCCTTGGAAGTAAGGAGGCAGGACAGAAAGCCAAATATCGAAATCTCTGGCCTTGATTTAGTGACAGTTTATTCTAATGGGGACCATAGGTGTTATTAGTAAAAAGATAGTGTACAAGGCCTAAGTTCAGTTTACATTGTTCTTTGAAATGAGTTCATCTTTTGTGTTGAATAATTGTATTCTAAGTAGGAGATGCCTGTATTTAACATAATCATGCTTTCTATATAATCAAATATGTATTTGTTGGAATACTGGTAGAAATAACCTTCCCTTCCTCCACTGTGCAGTGGAAAAAAAACTCCCGATTTATACTGTATATAAATTAGGAAATTATGTTACATATTTACATTTTTAAAAATATAAAAATGACATATTATTTTGAAGTGATTGTATTATAGTTTCTGAAGCTTATGACTGGCTATAAATATAACAACATACCCATGAGAAACCAGACCAAAATTGAATATATATCATCACTGTGACCTTGAACTTATAGTCATTTGGGATAAAACAGAGTGTGCCTTGAAATGATAAAGAGTGCCCTGCAATTTTATAACTGTACATTTTATTATGGGTGGTCCTCTCAAATTGGCCCCAAATCCTTGTCTTCGAGGTTGGTGAAATAAAAGTTTAAAATAAAAGTTGACTGGTATTTCCTTTAGTATTTCCAGAACTATTGCTGTAGAGGCCTCCCTTAATTTTCAGAGTTCTCATTTTGAATTAAAGTAGACTTACGCTACATAGATGTAGAAAATTAGGTTTGGCTTAGGTTTCTGAAAAAATATTCTAGGAGAAGGTGGTAGCATTGTTCTGAACTTACCACACTTGGAAAAACTAATCTTCAAATGTAATTTTTTGTCTTATTAATGAGTAATCTGTCAAAGACATGAATTCTTTGACTTGTGCTCATTCTTTCTGAACTTATTGAGGCTTATATATATCAAATAAGGTTAATTTACACAATAATTATTTTTAATAATTAATAAACTCATTCATGTAGTATATTTTAAAACATTATTTCCTCTCATTTTTCCTTCTCTTTTTTCTTCCTATATATTTTTAAGGCTTCAAGAGAAAACGGGCTTCAGTTTTTAAAAAAATGTAGACTTGCATTTTTACTGTGCTTATTTAAAATAATGGATATAATTTATATTAAGGTCCAAATTATTTTATTCACAGGATAATCATGGTCTCTGATAAAAGATGCCCACATTTCTGTGTACTCACAGTTGTTGTATATTTTTCAATTTCAATTTTGAAAGTAAACTCAACACATTGTTTTCCCATTTTACCTCCACTACCTACTCGCCAGACAAAAATATAGATTTCTCTAAAAACACATACAAAGAAAATGTCTTTCCTTAAAACATGATCTTATTGACATGAAGGTAGTTTGAGCAAGGGTATGTAATAAAATAAATGGCTCTCAACCTGCATCAATTTTTATACTATAGTTAAAAAATTTATAGAGGACAACCTATGTGTTATGCTGAGATAGACTCAGTAATCATTTGTTTGCAAATTGATTATTTTTTTCTCATCCATCCAGAAAGTACAGTGCATAACAACAACACTTAACAAGTGCAGAGGAACCTGTCCTGTAGTATATAATAAAAAATGATTGTCACCTTGCTGATCTTTCCATTTAAACATGCATGATCTCCAGTACTTTGTACAATGTATAGTATATTAAATACATTTATGTGTAATTTTGTGTGTATTTTTATATGGTATAATTAAAATTATTACATTTATGTGATTGTAATTCACAAAAAGTACTACTTACTATATTCTGTAGAGTGTGTTGTGAATGTTTTTACCTGTGTTTGAGCATTATGGTGTAGGTTTAATAGATGAATATTTGCCTTCAGTCTCTGCTCAGGTATTAATGTGTAGTAATTTTTGGTGCTTTCTTTTTAATCTGTGATAATCTGGTGTTCTGAATGTTCAAAAATAAATTTGGTTGAATACGCACATGGTAAAAAGATTGCTTACCAATTGACATACTCTCTATAATACCATCTTGGTAAAAACTCTTTAAAAAGGATTTATTGGCCGGGCGTGGTGGTTTATGCCTGTAATCCCAGCACTTTGGGAGGCCAAGGCGGGCAGATCACGAGGTCAGGAGATTGAGACCATCCCGGCTAACACGGTGAAACCCCGTCTCTACTAAAAAAAAAAAAAAAAAAAAAAAAAAAAAAATTAGCCAGGCATGGTAGCGGGTGCCTGTAGTCCCAGCTACACAGGAGGCTGAGGCGGGGTAATGGCGTGAACCTGGGAGGCAGAGCTTGCAGTGAGCCAAGATCATGCCACTGCACTCCAGCCTGGGCAACAGAGCGAGACTCCTCAAAAAAAAAAAAAAAAAAGGATTTATTTACATATCTACCATTTCAGAAATTAGAATGCATAAGCCTGGGACATGACACATCACAGGTAAACATTGAAGCAAGACAAATTCTTGTATTTTCCCACTTTGTATTTTGTAGTTTTCCACACACATGCATTTGTATGAACATTTCATGGTTCACATTCTGTTTTAAAGAATTGTAGATATTTTTCTCCCAGAGACTATGCTTTTCACATTTCTTTTTTCTTTTTTTTTTTTTTTGGAGACGGAGTCTGGCTCTGTCTCCCAGGCTGGAGTGCTGGAGTGTAGTGGCGCGATCTCAGCTCACTGCAAGCTCCGCCTCCCGGGTTCACGCCATTCTCCTGCCTCAGCCTCCCAAGTAGCTGGGACTACAGGTGCCCGCCACCAGGCCCAGCTAATTTTTTGTATTTTTTTTTTTTAGTAGAGACGGGGTTTCACTGTGTTAGCCAGGATGGTCTCGATCTCCTGACCTTGTGATCCGCCTGCCTCGGCCTCCCAGAGTGCTGGGATTACAGGCATGAGCCACTGCGCCTGGCGCTTTTCACATTTCTTATGCTAACTTGATATATTTCTGACGTGAGAAAAAATTTTAAATGGTCCATTTTCAAGGCATGATAAATCTAAGTACTGGCAGCCAGCCTGCAAATGTAACAAACCACATGGCTCATGCACCAAAAGGCCACGATAAGTGAACAGAATGTAGAGGAGGGGTCAGCCCATAAAAGGGAAGAAAGTTTTGTTATTGGGAAATCAAAAGTTAAGTGGGGAAGGGGACGGGTTATAACCTTATAAGGGGGATAATGAAACTCAGGCGATGTCTGGGAAGATTGTAACCCCATAGTACTCCGCCAGTGAGGAACTGGGGAAGGGACTTGTGTGCTAGGAGATAAATTATCTCTTGTGACTGCCCCAGGTGTGCCTGCCCACCGGACGCCCAATCTTGCAAGACCATTATTAAAAGTCTCACTTTCGCTGTTCTTTGTCCCTCTAAGTCCATTCTTTGGGTTTGGACAGGTGAGCATGTCTCTCACAACCTGGGGACCCATCCGGGGTCTCTATGCCTGCATGGAGTGGTATTCCGGCCAAGAGAGGAGATACATCCCACCTGATTTAGGTGGCCCACTCTGTCCAGGCGTCCTGGCTCCCCACAGAAGCCATAGAGAAATCTGAGACTGTTATTCAGGAGGCAGCAGAGGTGACCCAGGGAGAAAAGCAGGCACCGTGGGAACCAGCCCACCTCATGCATGAGCCAAGGTAGGAAAATTGGACTATGAGTAGAGTACTGCCTTGGTGGTTGGGCCTTTTCGAAGGTTCTGGGGTGTGCAAGAAACCTCCAGTAAGGGGGGCTGAGTAAACAGGGAAAAACTCAGACACAGAGGCTGGCCGAAAATGGGAGACAGAAATTCTAGGCCTAGGGGACAAAGGGAAGAGGGAGCCAAAGAGACTCCCTCTGACATTCCCCCAGATAGTCCTTTGGGGAAAATGTTGCAGGTTTGGAGGAACAACCCTTGAACCAGAGACAAGGAAAAGCAAAACATTTAGAGTATTGCTGTTTTATCTGGCCCAAAGACCTGATTTGTAAGCCTTTGGTCTTTTGGCCTAAGTTTGGCTCAGATGAGGATTGGGTGTGCCAAGCTTTAATTCTCTATGTGAATTAGAGAGATAGGTTACACTCTCTGCTGGATTAAGGAATTAGCCCCCTTGTTCCCCCTCAAAGAAGAAAGCCTAGTGAAAAGCCCTGGGACCCCCTATCATGCTCACCCCTCCATAAGCCTCTCAAGATAGGGGACAGGAAGATCAAGGGGCAGCAGGAGGGTTAGAGGAAGAAAGACCCGGAGACCATGGGGAAGCCAAACCAACTGCTCCTTTAAATCCTTATCCAAATTAAAGAAAAGAATTAAAACAGTGTAAGAGAGAGATCGAAAACTTACCTATCCCTTCCACACAGCAGGCATCTAGCATGTTCACGCTTACGCAAGTTCCCATGGGACAAGGAAAAATTGGCTTTGTAAATGCTCCTCTTACAAGAACTGAAGTTAGGAATTTCAAGAAGCAAATGAAACCACTCCTACAAGATCCCAGCCATTTAGCAGACCAATTCCTGGAACCCAGCTTTTATACCTGGGCTGAAATGATGTCTGTCATGAATATCCTGTTCACAGGAGAAGCGGGGAATGATTAGGAGAGCTGTTCTTCATGCCTCTAAGTCCATTCTTTGGGTTTGGACGGCTGAGCATGTTTCTCACACTGAGCGCCTAGTTTCTCAACTTAGTAGGAATGAGAATGATTTAAACTGTTTGTAAACAGATTTTCAGGTCACTCCAGAAATTTGATCTTTAGGGGAGGGGCCTGGAATTTTTTTAACAGGTGCCCCAAAAGTAATTCTCAATCAAGTTTGGTGAACATTCCCTTAGTCAATAGAGTTAACTTGCTAGGCCTCCTAGAAACAACTAGAAATGCTGTCCTGAGCATTACAAAGTGCCAAAAGAAACAATAATTTGAGAGTTTTAGTACAGGTTCCGATTTTATTATAGAACATATGGGAGGAGTAAAATGGGGGAGGATATATTTTGAGGGAAGAGTACCTTCTAAACTTTTAACCAGCATCCCTAAATATATGAACGTTTACGAATTATCTGCCTGTCCTAATGTTGTGTATGGTTTTGGCTTTTTGTTGTTGTTGTTGTCGTTTTTGTTTTGTTTGTTTTGTTTTGAGATGGAGTCTCGCTCTGTTGCCCAGGCTGGAGTGCAGTGGCGTGATCTCGGCTCACTGAAAGCTCCGCTTCCCGGGTTCAAACCATTCTCCTGCCTCAGCCTCCCGAGTAGCTGGGACTACAGGCGCCCGCCACCACGCCCGTCTAATTTTTTGTATTTTTAGTAGAGACGGGGTTTCACTGTGTTAGCCAGGATGGTCTTTATCTCCAGACCTCGTGATCCGCCCGCCTCGGCACCCCAAAGTGCTGGGATTACAGGTGTGAGCCACTGCACCCGGCCCCTGTTTTTTTGTTTTTTTTTGTTTTTGAGACAGAGTCTGGCTCTTTCGCCCAGGCTGGAATGAAGTGGCAGGATGTTAGCTCACTGCAACCTTTGCCCCTGGGGTTCAAGTGATTCTCCTGCCTCAGCCTCCCGAGTAGCTGGGATTACAGGCGTCTGCCACCATGCCCGGTTATTTTTTGTATTTTTAGTAGAGATGGGGTTTCACCATGTTGTCCAGACTGGTCTCAAACTCCTGACCTCAGGTGATCCACCTGCCTCGGCTCCCAAAGCATTGTGTATGTTATTAAATATACCCAAAGAAGTACATTTTTAAGGATGAAAATACTTAACTAGAAACTTTAATATTTCTTTGGATACCTAGGGGATTACTTTGAATGAGACCACATCAATTTGGAATCCACTGAATATACAGCATGGAAACCTCGTGGGCCTTCCTCACTAGTTTTTCTCTTTTTCATTTTTTCTGGAAAAGGGGGTGAAGATGAAGAAGGAAGTGAAAAAAGATTGTGTGAAAAAAAATGTGCGTGTGTGTATGTATATATACATATATATGTTAACATATGTATGTTAATTGCTGCATAACAAAAGACTACAATTTTAACTGCTTAGAACAACACCCATTTATTTGCTCCGTAGGTCAGAATTCTAGGCATAGCCCTAGTGTGTTTGTTCTCTGCTCAGAGTCTCACAATGAGCAATGAATTTGACCAGGTTGCTGTCCCATCTGAGGCTCATTCCGTTTGTTGTCAGAATTCACTTTTATGTGGTCCTAGGGCTGAGGTCCCTGTTTTCTGGCTGTCAACCGGGGACTCTTGAACTCTGGTGCCATGCCCTACCACATAGCCTTTTGACATCATGGCAGTTTGCTCCTTCAAAACCAGCAAGAGAGTTTCACATTTGAATCTCTTTGACTTCCTCTGTCACTGACCTTTAGACCCAGATTTAGAGGGCTCAAGTGAATATCTTAGGTCCACTGACATAATTTCCCTTTGAGTTGATTAACTCAAAGTCAACCTTAATTATATCTGCAAAATCATTTGTATTATGTAAGGTAAACAATCATATTCACAGAATTTCATCCACAGTCAAGAGGAGGGGATTATACAAGGTATACACCAGAGGGTGAAAACCTTGGGGACCATTTTAGAAGTCCGCATGCTACACGTGACATGGAACTAAAGTCTTTTTTCATAATTGCTATACTTAATATTCCATAGTTTTAACTCAAGGAGCTGATGAATTAAACATAAAATGTTTCAGTGAGAGAAAAGTCCCTTGATGAATTTTAAACAGCTTTTAAAGAAGTCTCCCACCCCTAGGTTGCTAGGTTGCTTTGTGTGTGTGTGTGTGTGTGTGTGTGTGTGTGTGTGTGTGTGTGTGTGAGAGAGAGAGAGAGAGAGAGATTTTGATTCGTCTAGAAATGGATTTGCTCTGCTTGTTTTGAACAGTCAGAATTTGGATATAGCCTGAAAGTAAGAAAGAGTGGACCAGCTTGCCTTATCAAATGAGCTGAATCATTTTACTGTGCTTAATAGATGTAATTTCATATTGGGTATCAGTCAAGAGTAATGACTAACTCAAACAAAATTATATAAGGTCAAATTGACCTTTGAAAAATGTTTCTAGAAATTCTCTTTTGACTATGTTTGGAGAAAGAATTAAGTTAGATGGACTTTCTAGTTGTGCCTAAGTCACAGTATATTGTGTAAATGAAAGCTTCAGGTTTTGCAGAGCTACATGCCCATTTGAGTATTCATATTTGTAAATCATCCTTCAGTATGGAATAGTTCTGTGAGGTATGTTCATATTAACACATGCTCAACACAAAAGACAATCACCATGCTTTTTACATTTAATATTTTGCACGATTCTGATTAAGAAAGAACTTTAGAAAGTTTGGAGGAAAATAAATCCAGCTAGAATGATCTAGGGATTAGAGTAGAAGATTTGACTGAAATATTAAAGACCTCTTCACTCTGCAACTACATAAGTTCAGTGAGAAGGTGTTTGAAGAAGAAACTTTATGATTCAGCCTTTCTCTTCGTTTCCTGGCTTGCAGGAAATACAGCATTGTACATGGTAGGCAGTACAGAGATTGCTGCCTGAAGAAGGTGGTGTACAGGATTGGGGTGGAGGGAAGAGGAGGAAATTTATTTTCTGGAAAAGATTTTGACCTACTGGAGAAAAAAAAGAATTTATGTTAAGAAAGGAAGTAGATTACCCTTTTTAGAAAAAGTTTGTCATATAGTTGCATTTTAGTTAGGAATGTGTAACATTTACTGTATTTTAAATTCTTTGTTCCAACAAGTTTTTTCCCCCAATGTTGTCGGGGTTTTTTTGTTCTGATTTGTCCTTTTTTTTTTTTTTTTTTTTTGAGACAGAATCTCCCTCTGTCACCCAGGCTGGGGTACAGTGGCACGATCATGGCTCACTACAGCCTTGGCCTCCTGGGCTCAAGTGATCCTCCTACATCAGCCTCCCAAGTAGCTGGACTTCTAAAATTTTTTGTAGAGAAAGGGTCCTCCTTTGTTGCCCAGGCTCAATTGCTTTGTTTTGTTTTGTTTTGTTTTGTTTTGTTTTTGAGACAGAGTCCTCCCTCTGTCGTCAAGGCTAGAGTGCAGTGGTGCGATCTCTGCTCACTGCAACCTCCGTCTACCGGGTTCAAGCGATTCCCCTGCCTTAGCCTCCTGAGTAGCTGGGACTACAGGTGCCCGCCACCACGCCAGCTAATTTTTTGTATTTTTATTAGAGATGGGGCTTCACCATGTTAGCCAGGATGGTCTCGATCTCCTGACCTCGTGATCTGCCCACCTCGGTCTCCCAAAGTGCTGGGGTTACAGGTGTGAGCCACTGCGCCTGGCCTCAATTGTTGTATTGTGATAAAATACACATAACACAGTTTATCATCTTAACCATTTTAAAGTATATAGTTCAGTGGTATTAAATTCAGTGTTGTGCAGCCACCACCACCACCCATCTGAATAACTCTTTTTCTTTTTCTCTGAAAACTGCAACTATATCCATTAAACAAGAACTCCTCATTTCCCTCTCTCCTGATTGCCTGGCAACTATCATTCTCATTTCTATTTCTGTGATATTAATGTAAAAACCTTTTGTTACATTCATAAATTACAAATCTATAGAATACCATAAAGGGAAATGTGTTTTGGAAAATCATCTCAGACTTTTTTGATTGCAAACTCTTATTGTTAAAGAAGTTTAAATGTTCCCCCATAAACATACTACTACAATACTAATATGTAAATTAAAAAATTTAGAAGGTTGTAATGAAGACAATATATTTTTAAGTATTTTGCTAATTATAATAGTGCCATGATCAACAACTGATATCTCAAGACACAAAAATATATTTAGGGCAATAGTGGATGTCATTGATTTTTCAAATAATCTTGATAATTTTTAATGGGGAGGAGTGACATTACCAGATCTGATTAAATTATAATTTTCAATTCCTAATGAAGCTGGCAAAGGAGTAGAAGTGTCAGTGCTTATTATTTTCTTTTGTTGGTTTGTGCTTCCATTACTGGTATTATATTCAACCTATGGTTTCTTGGGAGGAGTGTTTTTAAGCTGCTTATTCATTTGTGGTAGTTACACTGGTTAGAACTAAATAACATAATAAATATTTAATAATATAATACATGAATCATATACTGCATCACATTATTCTTAAAGTGAACAAGCCCATGTACAAATTAGGGGCCCTGTCTTCCTGTATGCTGTAGAATTCTCCCTGTTCTCTTCGGGTATCTCCTATGGACTGTGTGCAGCCATCTGTGATAAAGGCTGAATGTGTGAGAGCATTAGTGTCAATCCATTTATAAATTGTTGGTAACTTCATTTGTTAGATTAAAAACATGAAAGTGAATTATGTCTTCCTCCTACATCCCGATGTGCTGTCTTGCACACTACTTAGAATGTACACACCCTCCTCTGGAGAAACTTAGTTTAGGATGTATCTTGTAACCCTTTGAGATTGTCTCCCCCTCCAATAGCTTTACTGAGATACTAATTGACAAGTAAAAAATGTAGTTTTAAGCTGTACAACATGATGTTTTGATATATGTATACACCATGAGATGATTACCACAATCAAGCTAATTAGCATATGCAAGGTAATATCCAGTAACCTTGTGTGTGTTGAGAATATTTAAGATCTACTTTCTTAGCAAATTTCAAGTTTGCAATATAGTATTATTAACTATAGTCATTCTAACATGTGAGGTGTTATCTCATTGTGGTTTTGATTTGCATTTTCCTGATTATTAGTGATGTTGATAATTTTTTCATATACCTGTTGGCCATGTGTATGTCTTTTTTTGAGAAATATCCATTGAAGTCCTTTACCTTTTTTTTTTTTTTTTTTTTTGAGACAGAGTCTCACTCTGTTGCCCAGGCTGGAGTGCAGTGGCTCACTACAACCTCCCCATCCTGGGTTCGAGCACTTCTTTTGCCTCAGCCTCCTGAGTAGCTGGGACTACAGGCACATGCTGCCATGCCTGGCTAATTTTTGTATTTTTAGTAGAGATGTGGTTTCACTGTGTTAGCCAGGCTAGTCTTGAACTCCTGACCTCAGGTGATCCGCCCTCCTCAGCCTCCCAAAGTGCTGGGATTACAGACATGAGCCACCATGCTCAGCCCCTTTACCCATGTTTTAATCAGGTTATTTTCTTGCTATTGAGTTGCTTGGATTCCTTGTATATTTTGGATATAACTCCTTATCAGGTCTATGGTTTGAAAATACATTCTCCCATTCTGTAGGTTGTCTCTTCACTTTGTTGATTGTTTCTTTTGCTGTGCAGAAGTGAGGTTGCCTTTATATCTATGTATAGTGATACAAAGTGAGGTTTCTAATATCTGTGTATACTTGTATTATCCTGAAAGCAAAAATGAAGTTTCCAGATCAGAACCTGTCTATTATTACTTCACGACAGCAAAGGGTATGGAGAATGAGTATTATGAATCTCCATTGTATTCTTTCTTCATCTTGTTGCTGGACCTTACAGTTTTAAATTTAGAAAGTTTATTGTTCCAGTGAGACTGTATAGTGCAGTAAGACATTTAAGTACCAAATACAACTAACTGAAAACCTTAATCAGAAATATATGCTATAATTCAACTTTGAAGAAAAAAAATCAGAAGAAAACTAAAAGAGGTAAGCAGTTCTTTTCATAAAATCTTCCAGACTGTATTTTGGGGTTTGTACACTTCCTTTTCATGCATACTTTGTCCTTTCAGCAGATGGATTGAGTACCTGTCACAACAAAATCTGTGCCAGACACATTCACATTCAGCTTCTCATTTCATTCTCAAAAAAAGAAAAAAAAAACCCTTACAAAGAGGATTATTATCCCCATACCATAAGAAAGGATGTAGGCTCAGAGAAATTAAGTAATTTGCCTGTAGTAGAATTCAAGCCAGATTGCCTGTCTAAGAAATAGTGTTCTTAAATGAAGACCTGAAATATGTAATTATATTAGTTCACTTCCTACTCTCAAAATCTTTTCTGACCATACTAATTATTACTCTTAACTTGAAAAAAAATTGTTTCTAATGGTATGTCCACAACCTTCCTTGTTACCATTTAGATATTTCATGCAACTCTGTGACTTCAGTGTTATATTCTTGGTGGATGATTCACCAAGTCAGACAGATTTGCTTCCTGAATTCCATATCTAAGTATCTCTGAGTCAATGGCAGTACATTTAGCCTCTCTGAGTCTGTGTCTTCATTCATAAATTGTAGCTAGTAATATCCATCTTACAAAATTTGGATGAGGATTAAATGAGATAATGTACCTGACACATAGTAGGTTCTCAAGAATGATAGGTGCTTTCTTTCCAGCCCCCTAAACTCTAGTCTTCACCAAACTAGACAAACAAAGTATCAAATTACTGTTGAAATTTAACATAATAATTTCTTTCTTTGGTTTGGTTTTCTTGTTTTGTTTTGTTTTGTTTTGTTTGAGACAGGGTCTCACTTTGTCATACAGGCTGGAGTGCAGTGGCGTGATCTCAGCTCACTGCAGCCTCTCTACCTCCCAGGTTCAAGTGATCCTCCTGCCTCAGCCCCCCCAAGTAACTGGAACTATGGGCATGCACCCCCACACCTGGCTAATTTTTCTATTTTTTTGCAGAGGCAGGATTTGGCCATGTTGCCCAAGCTGGTCTTGAACTCCTGAGCTCAAGTCATCCACCTGCCTCAGCCTCCCAAAGTGCTAGGATTACAGACATGAGCCACTATGCCCAGCCCCTAGTAATTTCTCTCCCTCCCTAATCAGCAGCTCGTTTTAGTTTCCAAATTTCTATTAAATCCTCCCAATTACACAAGTTTAAAGTCTATTTAACATTCATTTTGGCAACTTCTTACTTGCCTACTACATCTACGTAGTTGTTAAGCCTTAAAGAGTCTAGCTCTTTACGGCCACCCTTTCTAGCTCCCACCCTAGTTTAGACCATCATTACTATTATTCCAAATTTTATAGCAGCTTCATAAATGGTCTCCCCTCTTTGCTCACTCACTTCCCTTCTATCCTGCATATTATAATCCCCGTTAGTCTTTTTTTTTTTTTTTAACAAGAAGTTTATTTAAACAACAAGACACTTGACTTGAAGGGAAAACTATCTAAGATTCTTTTTTGTTTTAGGGTAATTTATCCCTACTTAAAGACAGATTGCCCTACATATAACAGCTACATACAAAAAAGTTATAAAACTGTCCTTGGTTTTACAATGATAAATGAAAAACATTAAAATTCTCCAACTGAAAAAGGTATGCAAGGATTTTTGTTGTTGTTAAAACAGAGCAAAATAACTTACTGGAATATAAAGATAAGAGCTGAATGAGCATGCCGCTAATGGAGAAAGGGGGTATTTTCACAGAATCAGTATTTTTCCCCATCCCGTCTCCACTTGATGTCAATCAAAACATACCATTGGCTGTTTAGTTGAAAAAAAAATGCAATATGCTTGTGCACATACACCAGTTACTTTATGTACAATAAAGGAATGGGGAAGGGGAAAATGAAAGAATAGAGAAAACTATACAGTTTTAGTCAGGATGTGGTGGAACCAAATTGCAGTTTTCTAATTGAGAATGTAATCTTGGTCTTTAAAGAACAGAGTTCTGGCGTAAAGAAGCAGGTTCTGAGATTTCTCATGTATTTTTCCAGAGCCAGACTTACAGAATGCACTTTTGAAGGGGGAGTATAAACGTTTGCTTATTTATTCAATTTTGTTTAAAATAATTGGATAACATTTTATGTACCTACAGTGCTCTCAGCATGCTGGGAATGAACTATCATTTTGGAGGTGGGGTAATATTTTTGTTTTTGTTCTTTGTTAATTTTTTTCCCCTTAGGATAAAAGCTCACTGGTTGTGGCCGGGCGCAGTGGCTCATGCCTGTAATCCCAGCACTTTGGGAGGCCAAGGCGGGCAGATTTTGAGGTCAGGAGATCGAGACCATCCTGGCCAACATGGTGAAACCCCATCTCTACTAAAAATACAAAAATTAGCTGGGCATGGTGGCACATGCCTGTAGTCCCAGCCACTCGGGAAGCTGAGGCAGGAGAATCGCTTGGATCCAGGAGCGGAGGTTGCAGTGAGACAAGATCGTGCCAAGACTCTGTCTCAAAAAAAAAAAAAAAAAAAAAAAAAAAAAAAAGCTCACTGGTTCTATTTCAGAGCTCACAATTGATTAATAGCACTAAAAGAAAATCATTTCCCCAATTATGTCCCAAAATATCTAAAGAATTACCCATCTGAATTGTCCTTATTTTTTTCTCTTCTCTAAAACTACTCCTTTTATCATACAAAATATGTACCTGGAAATTTAAGTTATATTTTAAGAATGGTATTTCTTTCAAATACTTATATAACTTTATTAATAGGCTAAAATGTGGTTCAATACAAAATTATGTGACTCATGGAAAGGGTCTTATCTAGTTTAATATTCTGATGTGGCCTCTTTTCTCATCCCTTTTGTATCAAAAAGATATTCAATTATAGTTTGACTTATGTAAAATCCCAGGTTCATAATAGATATTTCAATCCAAATCCATTTTGTGTTGTGATCTGGATGACAGAAGAAGCTCAGCCTTCCTCAAAAGGGAATAAAAATTTGAATCCAGGTTCTAAGTCTACTGCAGCTTAGTGTGTTTAGTAGAACCTAAAGCAGTTGTGGTGAGTCATGAGTCTTCCTCCGTGATTGGCCTGATGTCTCAACATCCCCTGTAGTCTTTTCCTTTGACTGCTGTAACAAATTACCAAAAACTGGATGGCTTAAAACAACAGAAATATATTCTCTCACAGTTTTGAAGGCCAGAAAGTCTGAATTCAGTACCTCTGAGCCAAAATCCAGGCATGGGTAGGGCCATGCCACCTCTGGACACCCTATGGAAGGACTTGTTCCCTTCCTCTTCCAGCTTCTGTTGGCTGCTGGCATTCCTTGGCTTGTGGCCACATCATACCAGCCCTCAAGGCCAGCATTGTCAAATCTCTCTCTGCTCTGTGCTCACATTGCCTTCCCCTCTGTGTGCCTGTGAAATCTCCCCCTGCCTCTCTTAAAGACAAGCAATCAAATTGATTGCTTTGAGGGCATACCCTGATAAATCAGGATAGTCTCATCTCAAGAGCCTTAACTTAATCACATATACAAAGACCTTTCTTCCAAATAAGGTAACATTTACAAGCATTAGGGCTTGATGTCTTTGGGGTGGGCATTTTCACCCTACCATATCTTCTAAGGTCTCATACTACTTTGGGCCATATAGATCTTAGGAAGCCCAAATTCTCAGATAGAATTTAAGGTTTCAATCTGCACTGCCAGCTTTGCTGCAACCCAGGATCATCTCAGAATCCTTTCACAGAATTCTTATTCATAAGTATGTCTTAACCCTAAACTCCTAAGAAAACACATCTAGATTTATACTAAGTAACATGCTAGGAACTCAGTCTTGAAAACTCAATCTCTCTTATAACCTCCACTTCCAATGTATAAATTGAGAAGAGTATGGTCTATACATTGGGTTGTGAAAATTAACAATGAGTAGTGACAAAGCAGAGGCCCTGACACATAGTATGTATTCAATAAATACCATGCTTATTATCCTACATCAGAAGGGCAAGCCATCCTTAAAGTTTGATAGTAAGCCAGAAATCTAAATAATTAGTTAAAAGGAACAAAGGGAGAGGAGAGAAATCCCAAGGTGCTCTTCATGGATGACTAATGGGAGATATCTCCTATGACGTATGGGCCTTTAGGCTCTTAAATAGCTTCAGGGCAGGATGCACCAAATAGGGCCCGAAGTTTCCATATCCCTGGAGGGGAAAAACAAATAAATAAATAAATAAGAACTGCTTTGCTTCTGAATGGAGGGGAGAAAGCTGTACTAATAATAATTATTCTGGATGGTTCTAATGTCCTTTAACTCCTTTAGCAGGCCTATGTTGTGATTTGAGGACTACCATATTGAATATGAATTATTTCTTATTGACTGGGCTTCCCCATCTGAGTTATCTCAGGACTTGGACAAAACAGCTCTGCCCCACCCCCTCAAATCCAGAACAATTCAAATAGAAAAGTGTGTGTGGTCATGAATACGCCACAGTTTCCCCAGTCTCTATTGGTTTGTGTGCAAGAGATAGATCAAATATTAATTTACACTTTACTGGTCTATTGACTATTCAAGTAAAATTGACAAATACTGGTCAACTACAATTATCTCTCCCCTCCTTATTAAAATATGACATTATGTAAATCTCTGGTGAATGATACAAAATAGAAATGTAACAAGGCTGAAATATCGTAAGAATCTAAGTTCAAATTTTACCTACAGAATTTTTAATTCCATAAACATTTGTGATATAACTACACTGTGCCAGGCATTATACCAACCTCTGAAGACAAGACCAAGCTCTGAAGAATCAATGATAAAAAAGACATGGTGCCTCCTTCAAGAGAGCACCTTGTGAACCATGAGCCAAGTGGAAACAAATGCAGTCATCCTGATTGTCTTAGTTTGGGCTGCTGTAACAAAGTACCATAGACTGGGTGGCTTGTGAACAACAGACATTCATTTCTCACAGTTCTGGAGACTGGAAATCTAAGATCAGGGTGCCAGCACAGATTGGGTTCTGGCGAAGCCATCCTCTGGATTGCAGACTGTCATCTTCTCCCTGTATCCTTACGTGGCAGAAAAAGGGCAGGAGAGTTCTTTGAGGTCTCTTTTAGAAGGGCACCAATCCCATTCATTAGGGCTCTATTCTGATGAACCAATCACCTCCGAGAGGCTCCACCTCCTGATAGCATCACATTTAGGGTTAGGTTTTCAAGATATGAATTTGGGGTCAGGGGGACACAATCATTCAGTCAATTACATTAATTTCACCTGGCAAGAACGGTTGAAATGACGCAGTGGTATCTTTTTCTCAAAAGAAGTGATATTTGATCTGAGCTTTGAAGAAGCAAACAGAGAGAAATTATGAGGGCATACAAGGGTTGGAGAAGGTATTCCAGACAGAAGCAACAGCAATTTCAATGGCACTCAGGCATAAGTGCAATGGTGGTCACTGGAGGTCAAGTGGATGGAATGGTAGGACTGGATCATATTGAGAGCCTTTACATCACAATCAAGAGTTTAGACTCTATTTTATGGGCATCCAGATACCATGAGAAGGAGATGTGATGCATGTGAGCTTTACCTCAGCTGTGAGACCTTGTCTGCCCTCAGGCTCTCTGCTACAAAAGCAGCCTGCCTGCCAAAGACCTGTTTGCAAAACTGTAAGCAATGATTCTGCCTTCTATATTTTAGGAAAAATATTTTACTCCTCTGATGAATTTGGAGATATCAGTAGGGCCTGAGATGAGAGAAGGGGTTGGGAACCTGGTTCTCAGTTCAGTTTATGTCTCAGTCAGTGTGTGAATCCGGATGTCTAGTTTTTCACTGTGTTTCTCCCAGCTGGCTTTTGCTCAAGCATGATTATCATGATTTTTATCCTCTGTTGACTCTACTCCTCCATCTTAGCTGTAGGAGAAATGGCTTGAACTTAGGGCAGGATTTAAAGGGATGCATTGGCTGGCTCTCTCTTACTAGCCCAAATTGTGGCATTTGTGTTTTGGAAAGGCTGGTGGCTGTGAGGAAGACAGACCAGGGGCAGGAGACAGGGAGGCTGCTGCCCAAGTCCCAGAAATTGATCATGAACACCTGATGGAAGCAGCAGCTGTGAGGTCAGCCTGGACTTGAGAGCCAGTGCTCTCCAGGAAGCATGGCAACCTTGCTTGGCCTGGGGCCTCCTTTCTCTATGGGTTCAGGCTTCCAGAATTGCCTCACACTCTGGAGGAAGCATGGCCAACCTAGTTGGCACGGGGCCTCCTTGCTCTGTGGTCTCAGGTGTCGCAGGAAGTCAGGGACCCCGAATGGAGGGACTGGCTGGAGCCGCAGCAGAGGAACATAAATTGTGAAGATTTCATGGACATTTACTAGTTCCCAAATAATACTTTCATAATTTCTTACACCTGTCTTACTTTAATCTCTTAATCCTGTTATCTTCGTAAGCTGAGGATGTACGTCACCTCAGGACCACTACGATAATTGTGTTAACTGTACAAATTGACTGTAAAACATGAGTGTTTGAAGAATATGAAATCAATGCACCTTGAAAAAGAACAGAATAACAGCGATTTTAGGGAACAAGGGAAGACAACCATAAGGTCTGACTGCCTGTGGGTTGGGCAAAACGAGCCATATTTTCCTTCTTGCAGAGAGCCTATAAATGGACGTGCAAGTAGGGAAGATATCACTAAATTCTTTTCCTAGCAAGGATTAATACTCTGGGAAAGGAATGCATTCCTGGGGGGAGGTCTATAAATGGCCGCTCTGGGAGTGTCTGTCTTATGCAGTTGAGATAAGGACTGAAATACCCCCTGGTCTCCTGCAGTACTCTCAGGCTTACTAGTGTGGGGAAAAACCCCACCCTGGTAAATTTGAGGTCAGACCGGTTCTCTGCTCTCAAACCCTGTTTTCTGTTGTTTAAGATGTTTATCAAGACAATACGTGCGGCCAGGTGCGGTGGCACAAGCCTGTAATCCCAGCACTTTGGGAGGCCAAGGTGGGCAGATCACAAGGTCAGGAGATCGAGACCATCCTGGCTAACACGGTGAAACCCTGTCTCTACTAAAAATACAAAAAAATTAGCCAGGAATGGTGGCAGGCGCCTGTGGTCCCAGCTACTTGGGAGGCTGAGGCAGGAGAATGGCATGAACCCAGGAGGCGGAGCTTGAAGTGAGCCAAGATCTCGCCACTGCACTCCAGCCTGGGCGAAAGAACAAGACTCTGTCTCAAAAAAAAAAAAAAAAAAAAAAGACAATACTTGCACTTGCACTGCTGAACATAGACCCTTGTCAGTAATTCTGCTTTTGCCCTTTGCTTTGTGATCTTTGCTGGACCCTTAGCAGGAGTTTCTGATTTTGCCCTTGTCCTATTTCCTCAGAAGCATGTGATCTTTGTTCTCCTTTTTACCCTTTGAAGCATGTAATCTTTGCGACCTACTCCCTGTTCTTGCACCCCCTCCCCTTTTGAAATCCTTAATAAAACTTGCTGGCTTTAAGGCTCAGGTGGGCATCATGGTCCTACTGATATGTGATGTCACCCCCAGCAGCCCAGCTGTAAAATTCCTCTCTTGGTACTCTTTCTCTTTATTTCTCAGCCGGCCAACACTTATGCAAAATAGAAAGAACCCACATTGAAATATGGGGGTGGGTTCCCCCAATACTCAGGCTTTTAGAATTGGCTTACACTCTAGCCCTATTACATAAAAACGGTTGTAACATATTTTAAACAGAGGAAGATCTTTTATCCTTTTTAATATACCCCTCTAACATTTTTTTCCAACTTTTATTTTAGATTCGGGGGGTACACATGCTGGTTTGTTACCTGGGTATATTGCGTGATGCAGAGGTTTGGGATATGAATGATCCCATCACTCAGGTACTAAGCACAGTACCCGGCAGTTAGTTTTTCAACCCTTGCCCTCCTCCCTCTCTCCTTCCTTCTAATAGTCCCCAGTTTCTATTACTGCCATCTTTACTTTGCCATTTTTTAGAAAACAAAACTGATGATAGCAAAGAATACGACAGATTTCTCCATAGTGAATAACTACAGAATTCTGAGGGTCAACTTTATACTTACACTTAATATAGATGCTGCTGAAAAGGACAAATGGTTCACCCTACTGTGGAGGTTTTTGAGAATGTCATGTGTGTTTTTAACCAACGTCGTTTGACTCTAAGCCCCTATACCAATGGGGGAGGAGGGAAATTCAACTTCAATGGTTTCTGCACCTACCCTCACCTCCTCTGGGTCTCATAGAATCTGGGAGATTTTTGTGCCCCCAGAATATGAGGGGTGAGCCCCTACTCTCCTGTCTGTCATAGTCACTATGGCTCCCTTGACCCACAGCTCTTTGCTTCTGTTCTGTTTATCACAAGAGGTTTATTTCTTCCTCCTTCTCTTTATTCCACCTTCAAACTGAAATCTGTTGCTGTCACACACAAAAAAAGCAGTTATTGCTATGAGCAGAAAGCTGCCCGGCCTGCTCTATTAATCATATGAGCAACCTTTCCCTTATTTTTGAAGTCCTCATCATCACTGAGGAGGCACTCTATAAATAATAATTTTCCTATTCACTTAGGCCAAGGGGAAGAAAAAAGAGATTAAATTTTATGTCCTCATTCATGATACAGCTAACGAGCTGTATCAGCTCTGGGTTTTTTTCCTTAAAAGAGACAAGAAGGGTTTGAAAAGGTTATATAGTCCAATAGATGGTTTAAAAATTCCTCCCTACCTTGTTTAATTAGCATGATTTCCCCACAATTAGCCTATGTTTGCATTTATATTATACTTCAATTTGTAATTCAATCAACACATATTTGTTGGATTTCTTTCATGTGTGTGGTTCTGTGCTGAGTACTCTATTTTCTTTTCAAATTCCACTTGAGAAATGCTAGCAAAGAATTTCATTCAGATGCCTCTGGGTGCAGAAGCACCTTTTTGCCTGCTACCACACCCTTTTGTCCCAACTGCTACTGTTACAAATGCACTACTTAATGAAGAGACCAAATTAGATAATTTGGACCAAAAACTAATGGTTTGAGAACCTAAAATATTGTGGGTTTTTTTCTCTTTCTCTCGATTGAACCTATTAACCAAATAATTATAAAATATCTACTTAGTGCTGTGTTGATACATTTTGAAGGAAATGTCATAATCAACTTTATCAGTAGTACCTTCTGCTCTTTAAAAAAGAAATTTAAAATCAAGAAACTGGCCAGGCATGGTGGCTCATGCCTGAAATCCCAGAACTTTGGGAGGCTCAGGCAGGAGAATGACTTGAGACCAGGAGTTTGAGACCAGCCTGGGCAACATAGTGAAACATGGTTCTACAAAAAAAGAAAAAAAAAAGAGAGCCAGCCATGTTGATGTGTGCCTGTAGTCCTAGCTACTCGGGAGGCTAGGGTGGAAGGATCACTTGAGCCTAGGAGGTGGAGGCTGCAGTGAGCTGTGATTGTACCACTGCACTCCAGCCTGGGTGGCAGAGTACGGCCCTGTCTCTTAAAAAAAGAAACAAAGGAATTAATTTTTTTAACTTAAACATATAGTTCTATGTTCTATTAATCATCAGGGAAACTCCAGTGTTAAGGAACAAGACTATAGTATGTATGTTACCTTTGGTCCATCGGTTCCTTTGAGAAACTATAAATATTTCTTAAAAATTTAAGAAGCTCTTAAAAGAACAGATGAACTATGTTTTTATACAAATGGAACTATCAATTATTCATAGATAAATGGCTATGAAAATCTGTTGTAATTTATTCAGCCAGTATTTCCTGTTTTAAAAGTGCTTGCATATTGGGCTCAACATTGGGCACTGGGAATGTGAGGGTGGGCATTGTCTAAGGAGTTTATAGTGTTGTGACTTTTTACTATAATCTCAGTAAAAATTTTTTTTTTGATTTGTTTTTTATTATACTGTAAGTTCTGGGGTACATGTGCAGAACATGCAGGTTTGTTATACAGGTATACGCATGCCATGTTGGTTTGTTGCACTCATCAACTCGTCATCTACATTAGGTATTTCTCCTAGTGCTATCTCTCCCCCAGCCTCTCAACCCCCTATAGGCCCCAGTGTGTGATGTTCCCCTCCCTGTGTCCATGTGTTCTCATTGTTCAACTCCCACTATTGAGTGAGAACATGCAGTGTTTGGTTTTCTGTTCCTGTGTTAGTTTGCTGAGAATGATGGTTTCCAGTTTCATCCATGTCCCTGCAAAGGACATGAACTCATCCTTTTTTATGGCTGCATAGTATTCCATGGTGTATATGTGCCATGTTTTCTTTATCCAATCTATCATTGATGGACATTTGGGTTGGTTCCAAGTCTTTGCTATTGTGAATAGTGCTGCAATAGACATATGTGTGCATGTGTCTTTATAGTAGCATGATTTGTAATCCTTTGGGTGTATACCCAGTAATGGGATTGCTGGGTCAAATGGTATTTCTAGTTCTAGATCCTTGAGGAATTTCCACACTGTCTGCCACAATGGTTGAACTAATATACACTCTCACCAACAGTGTAAAAGCGCTCCTATTTCTCCACATCCTCTCCAGCATATGTTGTTTCCTGACTTTTTAATGATTGCCATTCTAACCGGTGTGAGATGGTATCTCATTGTGGTTTTGATTTGCATTTCTCTAGTGACCAGTGATGATGAGCTTTTTTTCGTGTTTGTAGGCTGCATAAACGTCTTCTTCTGAGAAGTGTCTGTTCATATCCTTCGCCACTTTTTGATGGGGTTGTTTTTTTCTTGTGAATTTGTTTAAGTTCTTTGTAGATTCTGGATATTAGCCCTTTGTCAGATAGATAGATTGCAAAAATTTTCTACCATTCTGTAGGTTGCCTGTTCACTGTGTTGACAGTTTCTTTTGCTGTGCAGAAGCTCTTTAGTGTAATTAGATCCCATTTGCCAATTTTGGCTTTTGTTGCCATTGCTTTTGGTGTTTTAGTCCTGAAGTCTTTGCCCATGCCTATGTCCTGAATGGTATTGCCTAGGTTTTCTTCTAGGGTTTTTATAGTTTTAGGTCTTACGTTTAAGTCTTTTATCCATCTTGAGTTAATATTCATATAAGCTGTAAGGAAAGGATCCAGTTTCAGCTTTCTACATATGGCTAGCCAGTTTTCCCAGCACCGTTTATTAAATAGGGGATCCTTTCCCCATTGCTTGTTTTTGCTGAGTTGGTCAAAGATCAGATGGTTGTAGATGTGTGGTGTTATTTCTGAGGGCTCTGTTCTGTTCCATTGGTCTATATATTTGTTTTGGTACCAGTACCATGCTGTTTTGGTTACTGTAGCCTTGTAGGACAGTTTGAAGTTAGGTAGCATGGTGCCTTCAGCTTTGTTCTTTTTTTTCTTCTTTTTGGCTATGTGGGCTCTTTTTTGGTTCCATATGAAATTTACAGTAGTTGTTTCCAGTTCTGTGAAGAAAGTCAATGGTAGCTTGATGGGAATAGCATTGAATCTATAAATTACTTTGGGCAGTATGGCCATTTTCACTATATTGATTCTTCCTATCCATGAGCATGGAATGTTTTTCCATTTGTTTGTGTCCTCTCTTATTTCCTTGAGCAGTGGTTGGTAGTTCTCCTTGAAGAGATCCTTCATATCCCTTATAAGTTGTATTCCAATATATTTTATTCTCTTTGTAGCAATTGTGAATGGGAGTTCACTCATGATTTGGCTGTTTGTCTGTTACTGGTGTATAAGAATGCTTGTGATTTTTGCACATTGATTTTTGTATCCTGAGACTTTGCTGAAGTTGCTTATCAGCTTAAGGAGATTTTGGGCTGAGACAATGGGGTTTTCTAAATATACAATCATGTCATCTGCAAACATAGACAATTTGACTTCCTCTTTTCCTAATTGAATACACTTTATTTCTTTCTCTTGCCTGATTGTCCTGGCCAGAACTTCCAATACTATGTTGAATAGGAGTGGTGAAAGAGGGCATCCTTGTCTTGTGCCAGTTTTTAAAGGGAATGCTTCCAGTTTTTGCCCATTCAATATGTTATTGACTGCGGGTTTGTGATAAATAGCTCTTATTATTTTGAGATACGTTCCATCAATACCTGGTTTATTGAAAGTTTTTAGCATGAAGGTTGTTGAATTTTGCCGAAGGCCTTTTCTGCATCTATTGAGACAAATCATGTTGTGGTTTTTGTCATTGGTTCTGTTTATGTGATGGATTACATATATTGATTTGCATATGTTGAACCTCAGTAAAAATTTAATATTTCAATATTATTATATACTTTAAAGTCCTGGGGTTTTAAAGAGAGTGATGTAATACAATTCCAGGGTATTCATTTACTCACCTAACCGTTGACATTTAAACAAACAAGTCTCTCATATTTTAACAACTACAACACTTTTCCTTGACTCTACTTTTAACTCTAGTAACTACCTTCTTTCTTTTCATAGCTGCGTTTCCAAGAGCTTGCTATACTCACTCATTTTCCTCTCCATCCAGTCCCTTCTAATCTGACTTTCTACTAAAACAGTTCAAATGCTCTATAGACCTAATTTTATCCAATGTGTCCCTTCTTGAAACACTTTCTTCTGTTGCTTCCATACTTTGCTGATTTTCCCTCACCTTCAGGGTCTCTTTTGTAGATTCCTGTATGTGGCTGTTACATGTTAAAATTTCTCAAAGCTCAAGTTTTTGGCCCCCTTTTTTCCTCATATTCTAAACTTTACTGAGGTAATCTCATTCACTTCTATGCCAACAACTCCCAAATTTACATTTCCTTCCCAGATTTCTCCTTTGAGCTCCAGATCTGTGTATCCTATTGCATACTCTCCAACCCCACGAGGAAATCTCAAAGCCTCCTCTAACTCAACACATTCCAAACAGAATGATGATCTTCACTCCTCCATGCCTCGGTTTGATATCTTGGTGAATGGCACTGTAACCCACTCACCTGCATAACCCACGGACCTAGCAATTGGTTTTGAAACTCCCATCTCCTTAGCCCCCCTCCCCGTAGTACCCAGTACATTAACAATCCCTTATAAATCTCTCTCAGATCTACCCATAATCTGTGCATCTGTGCTAACATCGCCCTAATCCAAGTTAACATCTTTTCCTGCCTGGACTACTGTGTAACCACCTAACTGGCTTTGCGCAGCCCTCTTTTCTAGCTCAGTCTCTCCTCCCCACTGCAACCAGAATAACCTTTTAAAAATGCAAGTATGATCAAGCTTCTTTGATGCCTAAAACCCTTTAATCAGTTAGCATTACTTGTAGCCTAAAGATCATAATCTGACTACCTCTCCGGCCCCATCTTGCGTCAGGCATCCCACCTGCTCCCTCTACGCCTGGCATAATTTCAGTACCTTTAAAGTGCCCCATTCCTAGCACAGCTGTTCACCTTTTTAGACACACTTCTCCCTCTGTCTTCCTCAGGTTGCCTGGGTAACTCCTATTCAGTTGACTGGATGTAAGGTCATTTCTTCACAGAAGACTTCCTTGGCTCTCAGACTGAATCAAATTCCCTTTTTCTATACTTTCATAGCACTCGCTATTTCATAGAAATGATTGTTCACTTATATGTACACATTTGGTTGTACGATTTGATTAATGTTTGTCTTGCCCACTACTCTATTTTAATGAGGGCAAGGACTGTATTTATTATTCTTACCATTTCATCCTCAAATCCTGTTGCAGTACCTGGCACATAGTAGGCACTTTGTAAAAGTCTGCTGAATGAATAAACAGAGGAAATGAACAACTGAAGGGCAGAGGTCATAGTAACTTGCCCAGGGTCAAGATGGCAAGACTGAGACTATAGCCAGGTTTGCTAATTTCCAGTCGAGATCACCAGCCTTCTGAATAAATATCTTGTCCTAAATTTTGTTCTAAATCATTGGAACCAAAGCAACGTCACAACTCAAGTCCAATTTCTCGGCCTACCATTTTCTACAGATGGCATTTATTCAGCAAGGGAATGTTGTAGGTATAGTAATTTATCTTTTTTCCATGAAACATGTGTTATCTTCTTGCTCTATTTTGAAGAGATATTATGATAAATGATGCCACTATTTAAAACTTGTAAAGCTTCTTGAGGTTCTCAGAAAAAAGTACAAGGTATAGGTCAAAAAGAGTAATTTTGTCTCTCACAAAAGAATTTTCTGTTCAAAAAATGCTGTTAACTTGAAAAAGTCATATCTCCAAAAGAACGTTCTAATAGGTGGGATAATCATCATCATATTTCCAGCTATAATCCATCATATTTCCAGGTGTATCCCTTCCCTTAAAAGTAAAAAAGGAGAAAATCACTTTGCTGTGTGGAAGTGCTTTGTGTGTTTTATAAAATCCACATAAAATGTTCGTGGTTCAAGGAGTGGCTGCCGCATTTCTAAGGCAAATAAGCTTATCCCTGAAGAAGCTTGAAGATCTGACTCTCAAGAATCTTTGTGTTCTGGATGAAAAAGGAATCATTATTTTTTAACTCCCCTGCTCAAGTCAGTGACTTCCACTGGCACCCAATCCATTGGTTATAAGTACCCATGAATTGCCTTGCCAATTATAGGCAGGATAACCTAGGAGGACCAACCAAAACCAAACTCCTGGTAAGCTTTATTAGCCTTTTCTACAATGTGTCTCAGTTTCTCTTTCACACCTTGGAGTGGAAGACAATCTCTACTCACACTGTTGTGGTATGTGTCTGTCTGTCTCAGATGTGTGTATAAGGTGTATTTCTCAGCTCGGTATCTGAAGTAATTTCTTTTTCTTTTCTTTTTTTTAAAGACTGCTGTCTTAAGGCTTAAAAGTAATTTAAGGTTTTGTTTTTTGTTATTTTAAGAGTTGCAGTTTCTTTGGAGACAACAAAGTACTTTTTTTCCAAAGATGAAAAAGGCATATTCAGACTTTCTATGTTATGTTCCATAATTGTTTTGCTTATCACTGTATAACATTCTCATTATCATGGGCTACTTTAAGCTAATCAGTTGCATTTTGGGGTCCTCATTTAGAAGTCAATCTGGAAAAAAGATGGCTGTAAAACTTAGATAAACCAGTATGCTATTTCTCCTTCCTTGTCTGCCTTTACAGATGTTTCCTCTTTCTCTCTCTCTTCCCTGACTATCTCTCTCAATGATCATTGACAGCTCCCGCATCCCCTCTTTCACTCAGCTTCACTCCACCATGACCAGAGCACCTCTCCTGCTACTATGTGTTGCCCTGGTGCTGCTTGGGCATGTGAATGGAGCCACAGTAAGAAATGAGGACAAATGGAAGCCACTCAACAACCCCAGAAACAGAGATCTGGTAAGAACACACTTGGGGCCTGGGTTTCAGGATAGAACTAATGCCTCTTTGGATTTACGCACACAGCATTCTGTTTTCCAGAACGTAGTGGAAAGGGGGCTACCAAGGGTTGAGAAAATTCTCCAACAGGATTGGACCAGAGTTTTACTACCCTAGTGGTTGGCAACCTATTGTTTCTCTGGCCAGTTTACATTTGTTTCTGTAAAGAGAAACAAATTTATATTTAGAAACAATCTTATACACACATAGTACAATTCATTTGTAACTGATCTTATATACACATTGACTTTGTAGCCTTGATTTCTAATACATATAAAAAATAAAGAGTGTAACAGGGAATTGCTCGTGCATAGCTTAGATTGAACTGATGATAAAACAAGTTATCATATAACTAGAGATTGCCAAGCTCAGCTGCAAAAATTGAAAGTTGACCCTGCATGGGTATCAATTTACTGGACATATTTTCAACATATAGTTATCTATAAAATAGAATTCAAAAGATCAGTAAACATTCTCTTTAAAAAAAATGCCAAATACAATAAACATGTTGACATGACTATTTTGAAATATGGTTTTTCTAAAGTGAATGATGGGAAATATAACAACATAGGATTAAAATAAACTGAGATAAGAGACCAGCAGGATTTGTTTTCTGGTCACAGCTGCTGACGAAAACAGGATCTGGTCCAGACAGGATAAAGTGAAAACACTGGGTGAAACCAGCAGATGGCAACAAAAGTGGTCCCGACCTGCTCTCATTGCTCTTAGGATATGATCCTCCCCTCAGTGCCATGACAGTTTACAAATGTCATGGCAATTACCTGGAAGCTACCACTCCTTTCCATGGCAATGACCCAAAAGTTACCACCTCTTTCCTAGAAAGCTCTAAATAACTCCCTTCTGTTTGCATTAACCCATCCCTTAATTTGCATATATTCAAAAGTGGATAAAAACACAGTTGATAAGAGCCCATATGTTGTCAGCCCTAGGTGCACTACCTATGAATTAGCCTTGTTCTGGCAGGAGCAGTACCTTTCAATAAAAGATTGTTACCACAACCAGCCTGCCCTTAAATTCTTTTCTGGGCAAAGCCAAGAACCCTCCTGTGCTAAGCTCCAGTTTTGGGATTTGCCTGTCCTGCATCAAAGCAAGTAGCACTTCGCACATCTTCTGTGTTCATTTCCTAATGGAAATCTGAAAAGAAACTATTGCAGAAGGCAACAACAGAGATCTCATATTAAGGAAGAGGAGATACTGAGCTGCTTATTATGGAGTTCATTTTCACCTTTGACCTTAGTACTCAGAGATAGTTCACAATGAATCTTTCCACTGTGGTGCCGCTCCATAGTCTTCCTTCAATTTTCAGTAAGAATGGTGAATTATTTTGGTTAGGGTTGAAATGTCAGAAAGAAGGTACAGAGGAGGGGAGGAGAAGTAGCTGAAGCATGTACTTGTATTTCTAGATTTTGTATTTCCTGCCTCTTAGATTAGCCTTAAAGTCAATTCAGGGGAAAAATAGAGGGAAGAAAAACACCTTTATTTTTGGTGTTTCATTTATATCTGGCATTGACCATTTTCTTTCTCTCTTTAGTTTTTCAGAAGGCTTCAGGCATATTTTAAGGGCAGAGGTCTTGATCTTGGAACATTTCCAAATCCTTTCCCCACGAATGAAAATCCTAGACCTCTCTCTTTCCAGTCAGAACTTACTGCTTCTGCATCTGCAGATTATGAAGAGCAGAAAAACTCCTTTCACAATTATCTCAAAGGCTGAAAGTTTCTTCTGAGCTCAGGTAAAAGTTGGCCCTTTATTCTGGATCTGTCCAAACATACAAGTCAGCCATAAAGTAGATATTTTGAAAGTATTTATTTGAAAACATAATTTTATTTCCTCATAGAAATAAATGCTCAGTTCTGCTTATACTCATTACTATTAAGTATTTGGATTTGGTTCAGGTATTTTACAGTCTTGTTTTAAAAAGAAATGACAGTTTTTATTTTTTAAGCATAGTTATCCAGGCAGAGACATATTAAAATAATAGAATTATCTCTTAATAGGATTATTAAATTAATAACATGGCCACACTCTTACCTGTATCTTTTTCCAGACCAACTGATATAGCTAAGTTATGTGGAAAATCTACATAAAGAAATATGTCAAATTGAGCTGTTGGATTAGATGGGAATTAAAAGTTGAAAGTATGGTTCTTTGGGGGATAAAGTATTATGCATATATTTGAGCTTGAACTTCCTCACCTATAGGAAGAAAAGGTTGACTATTAGTAAGGATGGCATTTTTCTCATAGAAAAAAATTAAAAATTTATTAAGATTTGAATTTCATTACTTTTTTTGTTGTTGTTGAGGTAGAGTCTCACTGTGTCGCCCAGGCTGGAGTGCAATGGTGTGATCTTGGCTCACTGCACCCTCCACCTCCTGGGTTCAAAGGATTCTTCTGCCTCAGCCTCCTGAGTAGCTGGGATTACAGGTGCCTGCCACCACACTCAGATAATTTTTGTATTTTTTTTTTTTAGTAGAGACAGGGTTTCACCATATTGGCCAGGCTGGTCTCGAACTCCTGACCTCGTGATCCACCTGCCTCAGCCTCCCAAAGTGCTGGGATTACAGGCATGAGCCACCACACCCAGCGAATTTCATTACTCTTATTATTTAGCATTCCTATCAAACCAACACCTACCATTTAAAAAGAACAAGCATGATTGGCCGGGCGCAGTGGCTCACACCTGTAATCCCAGCACTTTGGGAGGCTGAGGCGGGAGGATCAAGAGATCAGGAAATCGAGACCGTCCTGGCTAACACGGTGAAACCCCATCTCTACTAAAAATACAAAAAATCAGATGGGCGTGGTGGCCAGTGCCTGTAGTCCCAGCTACTTGGGAGGCTGAGGCAGGAGAATGGCGTGAACCTGGGAGGTGGAGCTTGCAGTGAGCTGAGAGCACGCCACTGCACTCCAGCCTGGGTGACAGAGCGAGACTCCATCTCAAAAAAATAAGAACAAGTATGGTGCATTCCAAGCAAATACATTATGATTTCAATCCATTAGCTTTTTGTTTAGCTGAATAATAAAGGGAATGGAATCATAATTAAAATCTTTTCCCATTCTCCCACAAGTGTAATTTTGAAATTCTGAGGAAGCATGCCTGTCTTGTGCTTCATGGTGTTTGTGAAAGGGTTTTCATTATTAGTTCTTTTAAATGTGATGATTAAAAAATAATGATTGCTACTCTAAAAAGAACGTATAACTTACCATGTGGAATATGCCCTTGGATATTGTTCTAAAATGAGAAAATAAAATAGAAGAAACAGTAAGATGTTAATGAAGTTTTCTCTTGACTATTATTTACACTTAGGCCTTAGGGTATCAGAGAATAGTTATTAATACCATACTATCTCTCTTAGTAAAAGGCAGATAAATTGCTTGTAAGCCTCGGCTTCTTCATCTGTAAATTGCAGATACTAGTTTCTACCTTACAGAAAGTATCATAGAAAATATCAAATAAATACTTTCATGTGAGCATGGAATGAGGTAATATAAAAGGGCAGGAAACTGATAAAGCACCCAGTTGGTGGTATCATAAAAGAACAGGAATTATTTACTTTTATGAAAAAAAAAACAAAGCTTCTGATTTGGAGTATATTTCATAATTATGAACTCTATGTTCCTTACATCTCTGGTGAGAAAATGAAGACAAAAAGAGTTTTCAGTAAAATATGTTGATTTGGGGGTCTTTGTGTTGATTGTATAGTCTTCAATTTCTATTTAATTATAACATTGTCTTGTTCTTTCAGGTGTCTGGCTATTTTAAAACTACAGATGAAGCTTCTCATTAGAAAAATTCAACCATTGTCATAGCTAAACTTTCATGGAGTTTCTTTCCCCCTCACTTTTATTTTTCAGTTTGTAATGATTTTATTCCACATTTCCATATTTACATATAAATCGCTGGAACTATGATTTCTATGCATATTTATGGAGTTTTTTTCCTATGAAACCATAAATATTGATGTAGAGCACCGCATGTATTTGTAGGAGTTACAAAAACATCACAAACTGAAAAAAGATTATAATCTAAATTAGATGTTTCTTTAAGCTTGTTTTTAAAACTTGTCTTTTATGTTTATTATCTTTTATCGACCAATATATTTTTTTAAAGGGACATGCTCACTTTTAGTATAGTAAAATTCATTATATGTGATAGAGGGTTGGGTTTAAAATTTGTCTTCCTTTCCTAAAAAGAAGATGCATTCCCATGTTCAGCATACACTACCAAAATACTTCACAGTTTTAGTTTCATAAGAAATGAGGGCAAGTGATAAACAGCCACAATTAAGTTAAAATGGAAGCAAACAACAACAACAAACATGGGATTCTAGAAGTTGTCAACGCCTCCAAAGATGCTCTTTGCCAGAGTATTCAGAGGTGGACATTGTGCCACATCAAATATTCTAGCAATGCCCGAGCCCTTGCTCTCATACACAACCTCCTCAGGAAGGAAAAGTAGAAACAGGTGATTTCCTCTCTTTCCAACCAGCCCCTGCTCTCCTTACTCTAGCTCATGCTGAGTTATTCTGATTCCCATACTCACATTTGGAATAGCTGCTTTTCCTGTATCTTTATAGATAGCTGCATCATCTTCTCTGTGATTCCTGCAAAAGGAATGTTGCACTAAAATGCAACATTGTCCTAACATTAGTCTGTGCATTTCAAAATATTTTAATGTGGCTTTTTTGGGTGGATTATTGATATTGTATATGAAGAATAAAATATTTGTGCAAGAACAGATTTTGTGTCTGGTTTAAGATGTTCTATTGTAATTAGTCGTATATGTGTCTGTTTCCCCTGAAGAGTCGTGAGGTCTTTGTGAGCAGAGACCATATCTAATTCACCTTTATTTCCCCAGCACCTAGTACAATGCCTAGCATGGAGCAAGTGTTCAATAGATACTTGTTGAATTGAAATAAACACGTGCTATTCATCCAGTTTTCACACAGTAATGGAATCTGCTTTTAGTTAATGTCAAAACTTTTTTTCTTGCCATTTAAAAAGTGTAAGTAATTCTTGATGAGCTATTCTTCAGAAAAGCATAGCTTATTCATATAAATGGTAGAGTGGTAGGGAGTTTTTCACCTCTGTCGAGTTCCAAGTACTAGTGGCTGGTTTTCACTTTCTTACTACTATCCCTGCTCTCGGTGTTAAGACCTCCACAAAGGGAATGCTCATCAGTTTCAGGGCATTGAAAAGGAAGGGCGTCCACATGGGGCATTTAGCTATGAGCTTGCAAAGTTTTGGGGCACGGGCATTCATCCTTCAACTGGATTATTATTATTTTTTGTTTTGACACGGAGTCTCACTCTGTCGCCCAGGCTGGAGTGTAGTGGCACAATCTCGGTTCACTGCAACCTCTGCCTCCTGGGTTCAAGCAATTCTCGTGCCTCAGCCTCCCTAGTAGCTGGGATTACAGGCGCCCGCCACCACGCCTGGCTAATTTTTGTATTTTTAGTAGAGACAGGGTTTCACCGTGTTGGCCAGGCTGGTCTCGAACTCCTGACCTCGTGATCCGCCCACCTCGGCCTCCTAAAGTGCTGGGATTACAGGCATGAGCCACTGTGCCCAGCCCAGCTGGAACATTTTTATGGATGGAAGCCCATACCTCACACTGACTAGAGTTTCTTAATGGTAGTGCTATTGGCAGTTGGGGGAAGCCAAATTATCACTGTGCGTGATCATTTAGTACACCTGGTCCCCAGATACTCTATGTTAGTAGATTCCCCATCTCTGCCCTATTTTTTTATTTTTATTTTTTATTTTTTTTTGAGATGGAGTCTTGCTCTGTCGCCAGGCTGGAGTGCAGTGGCACCAGGCTGGAGTGCAGTGCAGTGGCTTTGAAAAGGAAGGGCATCCACATAGGACATTTAGCTATGAGCTTGCAAAGTTTTGGGGCAGGGGCATTCATCCTTCAGCTGGAAATTTTTTTTTTTGAGATGGAGTCTCCCTCTGTCACCCTTGATCCCTTGACCTCGTGATCCGCCCACCTTGGCCTCCCAAAGTGCTGGGATTACAGGCGTGAGCCACGTGCCAGGCCTGCCCTATCATTTCGACAATCAAAACCTCCCGGGGGCCTGGCGTGGTGGCTCACGCCTGTAATCCCAGCACTTTGGGAGGCTGAGGTGGGCCTGAGGTCAGGAGTTCGAGACCAGCCTGGCCAACATGGTGAAACCCTGTCTCCTGTAAAAATACAAAAATGAGCCGGGCGTGGTGGCTCGTGCCTGTAGTCCCAGCTACTCAGGAGGCTGAGGCAGGAGAATCACCTGAACCCCGGAGGCGGAGGCTGCAGTGAGCCTAGATCACGCCACTTGCACTCCAGCTTGGCGACAGAGCGAGACTCCGTCTCAAACAAACAAAACCCCCAAAACCTCCCTACACACATTTCTAAAATTCACTAGTGAAATGATTTTGCTCTTGGCTGAGAACTAATGCCAGAACATAGATGAAGTGTATGTAGTGTTTGCGCCAATGCAAATAAATGTTCTGCAGGTGTTTTATGTTCTGGAGAAGTCTCTGGTACTTCTCTATATAGGTCCTTGGCAATCTCTCAACACTGAGAGGAGCTTCTGCTCCTCTTCAGTGAGCACCCCATTCCCCGGCACTTGGCCTATTGTCCTCTGTCCCAGATCTAGGGTGGCCAAGAACTGTTAAGAGTGTGAGCTTTTATCCTACTTGCAAGCTACACACTAGCTTTCTACCCTTTCATCAAACTTGGCAGATACATGAGACACCTTATGTCTGAGACAACTGACTTTCTTACTGATGGCATGGCAGGTAGTGACATAAGTTTTACATTCACATCAGTTTTCCTGACTCCCCAAGTATCAAGGGAGCCATGTGAATGTGGGTCCAGGGGTATGCAGTGCACAACTGGGTTTGTGCCAAAGCTGAGGAACTCCAAACTTAGGAAATCCCCACTCTTCTAATGGGACTGCTAGCAAACACGCCCAAACTCTGCCCAGAGGGAAACATTTATTACACTGTTTGGAAAACAAATTTGCTCCCTGCCCCAGAAGGAGACAATAGCTCCACCTTTCAAGGCTGTTTGATTTGAAAACAGCCTTGAAAAGCTAGCCTAGAACAAAGCTATCAAAAGCTTTTTCAGAACAATGAAAAAGCCATGGAAAAACAGTCTCCCACATAGGGTCACAGCCCATCCTGGCTCTTTTCCCTGGCAAGAAGAAAGAATGTATGCTTTTAATTATATGGTCGTGGTAAAAATTCAATGTTCTTCTTCCTTCAGACTTTCCATTCTGATTTTCCAAACAAGCCTGAATGTATTTTTATTATGGCTGTAACCATTCCACTTCATCTCAAGGTAATGTGGATACCTCTGACTCATCAGGTGACAAATCTCTTCCAAAGAAGTGGGGGAAAGAAAAACAGAAAGATTGAAATTTCAAGATATGTTGCAACAGTCTGACCTCTAAAATAACTTTCATGTCATTAAGGTGTTCCATAGCCCCCCCCAAAAAAAAACAAAAAACCAAAACACACACACAAAACAAACAAACAACAAAAAACTACCCTCCTACCCCTTGTTCACTGCTTCCTGTTCTTCATAACATGAATCTATATCTCCAGAATTGTTATTCCCATATTCCAGATAGCCAGCAATAAGACAAGATAGTCTAAGTCATTTGGGTCTTAGGAGAGTATTCTCCTTACAGGTAACCATCCCTTCTCACTTGATTTCTTTTCTTTTCCCCTAGGAGAGTTAGGACTGAAGATTCCTAAATTCCTCTTAGACACAATTGCTCCACTGTCTGGAAAAACTTAGGGGAGAATTTCCCTATAAGTGGTTTAAGTGGATTACTTTAACACACTCTACCCTGCTCACCTTCCATATTTTATACCCAGGTAGGACTCTGAGGATCCTTCCTCATGAGAAAGGGGAAGACTTCTAGCTGCGAGATATTTTTTTTTCTCACTTGGCAGTCCTGCCCTTGCAGGTCCTGGCCCCTCATTCTCCCATCCTTTTGCTGTTTATTCTCACCAGGATTGTCATAAAGATGGCTAGGTGATACTCTCCCTGTAACTTGTCTTTAACCTTAGCTTCATATTGAGCTTCATTCCCCTACTCCAGCTCCCTTGCCCAAGGTTCCAAAGGCACTTTCAATTCCATCCAATATAATTCACAAATGTGTTTTCAGCACAAATTATTAGGCCATACAGTAGGGTTTACAATGATGCATCAGTTAGGGCTGTTGCCAAGATATTTACAGCTAGTGTCTCTAGAATTGGACAAATAGATAATTATAATACAAGGGAAAATATAAATCACAGGAGTGTGTAGAAGTTGAAAAACCGTACCATTCAGAGGAGGCAGTATATTATAGTTCCAAGCATAGGACCTGGAGTCAGAAACCAGGGTTCAAATCCTGGCTCTACTACTTATTAGATAGAGACAATAGCGTTAGGAATAACATCCACTTAGAAGGAAGGGTTATTTTGAGATATGTATGTAATATGTATAAAACAGTAGATGGCCTATGTATTTATTATATAGTAAATGGGCAACAATGTGTAGTAACCATATCAAGTATTTGGTTCTTTCTGAAAGTTTGCTGTTAGGAAAGGAAGAAAACTTGGGTGGGAGAGGTGGAACAGGAAGCCCAGGTGAACGTATTTACAGACTGAGACGGTGCTTGAGGAAAGGGAGAGTTTGAGGATTCCGGGTGGGAGCAGGGCGCGGGGCGGTGGGAGCGGGGAGGAAAAACTGGCGGGAGTGAAATTTAAAGCATACATTGGGGGAGGATTTTAGCTTTCTGTAGCAGGAGAGAACTGGAAAGTGAAACATGCACATGGCAGAGCAAATGGTTAAATTAAGAAAAAAATATCACACAGCAGCGACCAAATTAATTTAAAGAACCTTCAGAAAAGAAAATGGATTGGGAGAGGCCGGGCGCGGTGGCTCACGCCTGTAATCCCAGCACTTTGGGAGGCCGAGGCGGGAGGATCACGAGGTCAGGAGATAGGGACCATCCTGGCTAACATGGTGAAACCCCGTCTCTACTAAAAATACAAAAAATTAGCCGGGCGTGGTGGCGGGCGCCTGTAGTCCCAGCTTCTCGGGAAGCTGAGGCAGGAAAATCGCTTGAACCCGGGAGACGAAGGTTGCAGTGAGCCGAGATCGCGCCACTGCACTCCAGCCTGGGCGACAAAGCGAGACTCCTTCCAAAAAAAAAAAAAATGGATTGGGAGAATGAAACTAACACTTAGTGAAGAATTGAGGGAAATTACCTAGGTTAAAGAAAATATATTTAAAGCACTTTTTTTTTTGAGCTATCTAATAACCTTCAACGAGGGCTGAAAGACGCGGCCTAGGGAGTCAGCATGGGTCGCGCCTCCCATTTATACGTCCCGGTCTGGCGCGCACGCGGAACCTGAGTGCTGCAGCTGCGGCGCAGACCGGGCGAGTTTCCCAGAAGGACGCCGGTTCCTTGCTCTTGCTGGCCCCGGCGAGGTAGCTTCTGGAAGGCGCTGCTCTTCCGGTTCTCTGTCCCGGTTCCTGGGGTTGCACAGACAGACCCTGTAAACATGTCAGGGTTCAGTCCGGAACTCATCGACTACTTGGAAGGGAAAATCTCCTTTGAGGAGTTCGAACGGCGGAGAGAAGAGAGAAAAACCCGCGAGAAGAAAGTGAGGCGATGCTAGGCCACGGTGCCCTTCACTCTTGTTGCCTTCATACCCTTAGGTGTGGGGGACCCAGACGACCGCTTTCACTGTGATGGGGCGGGCTGGGAACTTTCAGCAGCTTCTTCCTTATCTTACAGAAACTCCGGTTTTCACCCCTCATCCCTGTGCTAAGCTCCTTAAAACGTTTTCCCCCACCGAAAAGCTTTCGTCTTGGTGGTAACCTCTTCTTTTTCCCCCAATACTACGTTTTTATTTCAGGGTAGCTTAACGCTGGTAAGTTAAATGGGAGGTGGGGAGAAGAGTTTGGAGTCAGTTTCAGGTTCTAGTCCTAGCTTTGCCACTAAGTCGTTTTGTGACGGTGGGTGGACAGCTCACTTCTCTTCTTTAGGCCCCAATGTCTCCTTTTCTGAACTGGAACGATTGAGCTCCTGTTTTTGAGGAGTCTCCCACTGGTGTGAAGTAATAGTCCATAAAAAAGTATTGTCCGATAAGAAGATAATCTTCACCCATACCTTTTTTTTCCCCATACTTAGAAATATCTGAACTTACTGTATCTTCTTGCTTACTTCAAGTGCAAGAGAAAATAAAAGTAATGCAACCTTTTTAAATTTTTAAGTTCGAAGGCAGATTCTTTTTTTTTTTTTTTTTTTGAGACGGAGTTTCGCTCTTGTTGCCCAGGCTGGAGTGCAGTGGCACGATCTCGGCTCACTGCAACCTCGGCCTTCTGGTTTCAAGCGATTCTCCTGCCTCAGCCTCCCGAGTAGCTGGGACTACAGGCGCCTGCCACCATGCCCGGCTAATTTTTGTATGTTTAGTAGAGACGGGGTTTCACCATGTTGGCCAGGATGGTCTCAAACTCCTGACCTCGTGATCCGCCTGCCTCGGCTTCCCAAAGTACTGGGATTACTTTGCCCGGCCGGCAGATTCTTTAATAATTCATGCGAGTAGTAGGGACTTATCTTTTTATTTATTTTATTTTATTTTATTTTCAGACAGAGTCTGGCTCTGTCACCCATGCTGGAGTGCAGTGACGCGATCTCAGCTCACTGTAACTTCCGCCTCCCGGACTCAAGCAGTCCTCCTACCTCAGCCTCCAAGTAGCTGAGACCACAGGTGTGAGCCATCACACTCTGCTAATTTTTGTATTTTTTGTAGAGACAGGGTTTCTTCATGTTGCCCAGGCCGGTCTCAAACTCCTGAGCTCAAGGGATCCGCCTGTCTCGGCCTCCCAAAGTGGTTGGATTACAGATGTGAGCCACCAAGTCATTTTTTATTTAAAATATTAGGATACAATATGTTCATTAATGAAATTATTAAGATATTTTATTTATTTTTTTTTACAAATGACAGATTGAAGGGTAAGATATAAGTACTTTGAAATGCTTTGACAGTATTCAAATTTAGATTCCATCTACTGTGTATGTGTTCACAGCTCAAGTTTTGTAGGAATAGAAAATTAGGCAAATGCCCTATTCTATAAACTGCCAACCCATGGTCACAAAATGCCCGAGTGGCAAAGCTAGGACTAGAACCAGATACTCTGTGGCTGGGGAGAGCTAAGTCTGCATTATTTTTTGGAATCATTAATTAATTTGCAATCACAGAGTCTTCAGGAAAAAGGCAAGTTATCAGCTGAAGAAAATCCCGATGACTCTGAAGTTCCATCATCATCAGGAATTAACTCTACCAAATCCCAAGACAAAGATGTCAATGAAGGTATGTTAAAATTATGTGCTTCCTGCAATGAATGTTTAGAGTATGTAAGCAAAGTAATTTAGTGAAACATTGTATTTTCATGGCAGTGATACTCTGTTGTTGATTACCTGGTTTTTCAGGAACAGAATGCTTGGTTATATAGTAGGTGCCCAATAAATATTTGTTGAGTTATTGAATACCCTGATGGTTATTTTTTGTGAGCTCTGGTGTTGGAAAAGTGTTTTAAATTGACATCAGTATTTGTTTGGGAGCTTTTTAAGATTATTTTTTAAATTGGCCCTCTCAGTTGGTAACTAATCACTTCCAGACTATACTTCCTCAAATTGTAATGAATTACACTTCGATATAAAGTGGCTTCCAAACCACTGCTTTAGTTACAGGGAGAAAAGATAGAAATGTTAGCGTGGAAGGCAAGTTGGTTGCCCTCATGGAACTTCACACACAGCACAGGTGTCTTGGTAGGCTACCTCATTCTAGCATCCAGTCCTCAGCTTTGCATGTCCAGATATTAAATTTGGTTAGTGCACCCAGACTATTTAAACTCATCGTAGCCTAATTAATTAGTAAGCAAATTTATTAATGTTCAGTGATTGATACCCTTTTCCAGGGATCAGAATGCTGATAATATCTCAGGGTATCCATTTACTACCATATCAAGTTAACTGGGATGCTAAACTGTCAGTTAGAATGTAGCTTCATGTATAGGGTCTGATAACAACTGTCTAGTTCTAGGGGTTAGAAGTACAGTCTGGTTCTTTTCCCTCAAAACAAGTAAGTGTTTACACAGAGAACAGACAGTCATAGCATGGGCAGAAAACAAACAAGATTTGTTCCTACCTCCCTGGACCAAGTGAGGAAAAAAGGGCAAAGAGGAGGGAAAACTGGGGGTTACAGTTTCTTATTCTGCCAGGAAAGTGGGGTGGAAAAGGCAGCTGATAAAAAGGAATGAGATCATGTCCTTTGCAGGGACATGGATGGAGTTGGAAGCCGTTATCCTCAGCAAACCAACACAGGAACAGAAGACCAAACACCGCATGTTCTCACTTATAAGTGGGAGCTGAATGATGAGAACACAGGGACAAAAGGGGGTGAGGAAACAACAGACACTGGGGCCTTTTGGATTAGGGGTGTTGCGGGAGGGAGAGCATCAGGAAGAACAGCTGATAGATGCTGGGCTTAATATCTAGGTGATGGGATGATCTGTGCAGCAAACCACCATGGTACATGTTGACCTATGTAACAAACCTGGACATCCTGCACATGTACTCCTGAACTTAAAAGATGAAGAAAAAAAGGCAGCTGACTGAAGTTGTTCTCACAATTTGTGTGTCCTTCCTTATCTGCTGAAGGGAGGAGCTGCTCTTTTTTCCTCAGGTGTTTAAGTTGCTACTATAGCAGCAGGCACAAGTGGGTGCCTGTCAGTCCTGTTACCTAAAGCTGCTCCCAAAAGCTAGCCATCAGGCCCTAAAAAAGGAGTGAGCTGAGTCCAATTCAGGCTCATGATGAGCAGTCAGGCCCACAAGGACTGGCTGGCTTCAGCTCAGATAATGTCATACATCCTTTTAAGATGTGAAGCTCCTAATTTCCTAGTAAGGAATTGTCCCAGAACTCTACCAAGACTCTTGGTGAGTATGAGCATGTATTCAGAGCAGAAGGGGTCAGTTTTGAACAAGCTTTGGCAGTCAGCTAATTGAAATATATGGTCACTAGTTGTCCTTTTCCTCTGGACAGTACTAAATACACCACTAAATTCTTGCTGTTCACACCGTTCTTACACACTGAAGATAGGATCATCTTTTAATTTCATTTTCAATTCATTTGCTGATATATTAAACTATAATTTTTATATATTGACTTTGTGTTCAGCAACCTTGCTAAATTATTCTTATAGTTTGTATGTAGATTTATTTTGGGTCTTCTATGTATATAATCATGTCATCTGTGACTTAATAATTTTATTTTTTCCTTGCCATCTTTATGCCTTTTGTTTCTTATTACATTGGCTAGGACCTCCAGTAAAATGTTGAACAGAAGTGGTGGCAGTAGGCAACTTTGTCTCATTCTTAGTAACATTCAGTAATTCACCATCAACTGTGTTTGTGGAAAATTTTTGTAGATACTCTTCATGAAATAAAAGATACTCCCTTTCATTTTTAGTTGACTAAGAATTGTTATTAGGAATGGGTATTGAATTTTATCAAATGCTTCGTTCTATCAGGATGGATCATACGATTTTTCTTCTTTTGTTCCTTTGTTCTTTTGTTCCTCTGATAAATTTTACACATTTCTTTTCATCTTTATTTTGAATGTTCAGAATTCTTGAATATGATCCTTATGACTTCAAAATAATATTTATTGCTCAGAACATGTAGCTTTTAAAATCTATTCTTCATTAAACACTGATTATCTCATTTGAAGTATTTCACATAAGTGAGTATGCGTAAGAGTTTTTGAACACAGGCCAGGTGCAGTTGTTCAAGCTTCTAATCCCAGCACTTTGGGAGGCTGAGGTGGGTGGGTCACTTGAGGCCAGGAGTTTAAGACCAGCCTGGCCAACATGGTGAAACCCCATCTTTACTAAAAATAGAAAAATTAGCTGGGTGTGTTGGCACAAGCCTGTAGTCCCAGCTACTAGGGAGGCTGAGATGGACTGCTTGAAGACAGAAGGCAGAGGCTGCAGTGACCTGAGATCGCACCACTGCAATCCAGCCTGGGCGACAGAGCAAGACTCTGTCTAAAAAAAACAAAACAAAACAAAACAAAAAAAATGCTGGGCATGATAGCTTACGCATGTAATCCCAGTACTTTGGGAGGCCAAGGTGGGTGGATCACCTGAGGTCAGGAGTTCGAGACCAACCTGGCCAACATGGCAAAACCCCATCTCTACTAAAAATACAAAAATTAGCCAGGTGTGGTGGCTCATGCCTGTAATCCCAGCTATTCGGGAGGCTGAGGCATGAGAATCACCTGGGAGGTGGAGGCTGCAGTGAGCTGAGATCGTGCCACTGCACTCCAGCCTGGGCGACAGAGTGAGACTCCCTCTCAAAAAAAAAAGAGTTTTTGGCTGGGCTCAGTGGCTCACGCCTGTAATCCCAGCACTTTGGGAGGCCGAGGTGGGTGGATCACCTGAGGTCGGGAGTTTGAGAGCAGCCTGACCAACATGGAGAAATCCCGTCTCTACTAAAAATACAAAATTAGCTGGGCGTGGTGGCACATGCCTGTAATCCCAGCTACCCCATGAGGCTGAGGCAGGAGAATTGCTTGAATCTGGGAGGTGGAGGTTGCGGTGAGCTGAGATTGCGCCATTGCACTCCAGCCTGGGAAACGAGGAAAACTTCATCTCAAAAAATACATATATATTTTGAACACATATATAGAGAGATATAAACATAAATATATCTCTCTATATATACTTAAAATTTTAACTATTTTGTTGGAACTTTTCTAGAAATATGTTACATGTCTATCTTTGTGTTTTCCGTTGCTTATAACAGAATACTTGAAACTCGGTAATTTATAAGGAAAAATAATTTATTTCTTATAGTTAGGGAGGCTGAGAAGTCCCAGGCAGAGGAACCGCATCTGTTGAGGACCTTTGTGGAGACTCTCCAGAGTCCCAAGACGATGTAGGGTATCACATGGTGAGGGAGCTGAGCATGCTAGCTCAGGTCTGTCTTCCTCTTCTTGTAAAGCCACCAGTCCCACTCCCATGATAACCCATTAAATCATGAATGGATTAATCTATTCATGAGAGCACAGCCCCATGACCCAGTCCCTCTTAAAGGTCCCCTCTTAAAGACCTCTCAATATTCGCACATTGGGGATTAAATTTCCATATGAGACTTGGAGGGGACAGATATTCAAACCATAGCAATGTCTCTGCTTTAACAGAAAATTGGCTTCTGCACTTCACATTTTCTTGATAATTCAAAGTCATAATTATTGACATTCAAAAATCATTATATTATACTATGGTGGTATCCTGAGATACAAATGAACTATGTCATGTTATTTTTTTCCTGAAATAATAAAGCTATTTTAATACTAATAATAGCATTTAATAGGCGTTTACTATATGCTAGGCATTCTAAGTGTATATATACACACACACACTCACACTCATTTTGTCCTCAGAGTAGCCCTATAAATTATTATTAACCCTTTTTGCAAAAAGAAACTGATGTATAGAGCAGCTTTAGTAATTTCCCCTAGGTTGCACAGCTAGTGATAGATGGAGATGAAGTTTGGAACCAGGCAGCTTGGCTCTAGAGCCCTCACTTTTAACCACTATCGTATACCACCAGGGCTCCGTACTGCTAGGCTTGTTTAGTTCTTAGGTCTATGTCTTATAATTCTTCTATTTTTTTTCTTCTGTATTATTGTGTGTGCTTCTGATTTTTCAGTTAATTTTGCCTGTAAATCTGGATGAGGCCTAAAGGATGAGTCAGCTGTTCCTATATAATAAAATACATGGCTTTGTGATAACTTTCTTCTTTGGTTTGGTTTTTGAGGGTGTTCATTTGCTATTTTTTACTTTCAAATTTGGTGTTACTGGGGTAAAAATTTATACTTAGAAAATACTTGTTTTTCACTGAGAATTCTGCAGCTTCCCCACCCCTCCCCCATCAATGTCTCTTTTCTCAGGAGAAACATCAGATGGAGTGAGGAAGTCAGTTCACAAGGTCTTTGCTTCCATGCTTGGAGAGAATGAAGATGATGAGGAGGAAGAGGAAGAAGAGGAGGAGGAGGAGGAGGAGGAAGAAACACCTGAGCAACCCACTGCGGGCGATGTATTTGTATTGGAGATGGTTCTCAATCGTGAAACCAAGAAAATGATGAAAGTAAATTTTTACTTATTTTGGTATTTATAAACAATGAAGAAAGTGACATAGTAATTGAAGTCTGTAAGTTATACCTGGGAAACAATTCAAACTGTACGAAAGGAAATACTATGACACAACTATTGTTATTTGTTTATTATGTTTCCTATTAGATAATGTTTATGTAAAACCTTAATTATAGCCGGGCATGGTGGTGTGCCTGTAGCCCAGCTGCTCCGGAGGCTGAGGTAGGATCAGCTGAGCCTGGGGAAGTCAAGGCTGCAGCACTTCAGCCTAGGTGTCAGAACAAGACCCTGTCTCAAAAAATTAAATACAGTACAACACAATAAATAAATAAAGTCAAAGCAAAGTGGCTCATTTAAACCAATTGGGCCATTTATTTTTTAAAAAATGCTAGAAAGGTAGAATCTAACACACACACAGACACACAGACAAAACCTTAATTATTGCTTATGTCAAAATGGACTGCGCTTTTGCTATTAAAAGGTCCATACTGGTGAGGCACAGTGGCTCATGTCTGTAATGGCAGCAGTTCGGGAGGCTGAGGCAGGAGGATTGCTTGTGCTCAGGAGTTGGAGACCAGCCTGAGCAACATAGTGAGGCTCTGTCTCTACAAAAAACTTTTTAAAAAACTAGCGAGGTGTGGTAGTGCACTCCTGTTGTCCTAGCTACTCTGGAGGCTGAGGTGGGAGGATGCTTGAGCACGGGAAGTCGAGGCTGCAGTGAGCTGAGATCACTCCACTGCACTGCAGCCTGGGCAACAGAGTGAGACCCTGTCTTAAAAAATATGTCTGTGTCCATACTATAACCCTTTGATACTTTTTTAAACAAGTTCATTTTGAGTGGATAAATTTGAAAGAAGGGGGATCTTCAGTAAATTACATCATAATTCTGGAATATAAATGCATTTTGCAGCATCCAGCTCTACATTTGTTATTATTCTAATTAGTAATTTAGTAACTTCTGACCACTTTTTTTTTTTCCTGCAATTGAGTTTTAGACTTTTTTTTTTTTTTTAAATGAGACAGTCTTGATCTGTCACCCAGGCTAGAGTGCAGTGGCGTGATCTTGGCTCACTGTAACCTCCGCCTCCCAGGTTCAAGTGATTCTCATGCCTCAGCCTACCAAGTAGCTGAGATTGTGGGTGTGCACCATCATGCCTGGCTAATTTTTTTGTATTTTCAGTATAGACGGGTTTCACTCTGTTGGCCAGGCTGGTCTCCAACTCCTGGCCTCAGGTGATCCGCCTGCTTCAGCCTCCCAAAGTGCTGGGATTACAAGAATGAGTCACCATGTATGGCCAATTTTAGACTCGATAAACTTTAATGTTAAAGAGTCAATTAGAATTGCAACTATTTAGTTCTGGGTTGCAAAAACTGAAAATTTTTAAAGGAAAATTTCAGTTTCATTATATGCTATATTTATTAATATGGCTGGAATTGAAATCTAAGACTTCACTATATTTTAATCTAAATGTCATTTTTCTTCCATACAGGAGAAAAGGCCTCGGAGTAAACTTCCCAGAGCTCTGAGAGGTCTCATGGGTGAAGCCAACATTCGTTTTGCTCGAGGAGAACGTGAAGAGGCGATATTGATGTGCATGGAAATCATAAGACAAGGTGTTTTCTGTGGGGACTTTGTTAATAATAGCAGTTTAATAGTCTGACTTAAAACAAATGGGGGAGCACTTCACAGTACTATTTGGAAAATATGTTCAGAAGCTTAAGGGTGATTGTGGTAATGGTAATTGCCACTTTTCACAAGAAAATGAAAATCTCAGAGTATGAGTCAATGAGATGTCATTAATATTTGTTGAATTTCACTGTTACTTTTTTTTTCTAATGTTTCAGTTGAGAGATTTAGACTTTTGAATTGTCAGTATGGCAAATATATTATGTTAAAGCCACTTGAAGAGCTTTCTTTTTTCCTTTTCTTTTCTAGATCATGCAGTACTAGATTATGTTACTCTATTTTTTTGGTAAAAGACAGTTTAAACTTGTCATCTTATCTCTCAGTTAAATGGTGTATCTTGGACATATTAAATGATATCTTCAGTGTGATTTTTTTTTAACTAATTACTTATATTTATTGTTTTGTTTCCTTGATGTTTTGCCAAATTATGCTCTGCAGAGTGGTTTGGATAGCTGTAATACAGTGAACTTTTATCTTTTCAATAGTTTGGCATTTCTTTTTGGTTAGACTAGGGTCCTTTTAGAAGTCTTATTATAATTTCCTGGATTATTCATTAGGGTAATTTGAGGCTACTGCTTAAGATTAAACAGACTTTTTCCTTTAGTATATTTCATTTGGTTCCTACTTTCCAATATTATTTGTTCCTTTATTTTAGTTTATAATTGTTCTTGACAAAAATCTTTGACTTTAATACTTCATAATCTTTGAATTTTGTTTCAGAAACAGTATTTCAGAAATGTAGATTAGCCAGTCACTTTGATATCCGTTTAGCTGCTGCTTAGGTATCATCTGTTCATTCATACCATACTCCTTGGTGTGGGAGCTAAATCATGAAGATTCAACCCCACTGATGTGGCTGGTGTTTATTAGGATGAACTTGCTGATATTGAGCCATGTTTATCCTGAGCAAAGGGGGATTTTCATGAGGAAGAAGTGGTAGAGATTAGGATTTTTCATGAAATTATACCTTGCTTAGAGAAAACTGCTTTAAAAATGCTAAAAATGTATGAAAATAAAGCAGATATAATCTAGCATTTATTTCAACTTGCCTTAAGCAGTTTGTATAATTCTGCTAGAGTGATTTGAAGAGTTTAGGTATTTAAAAAAAAGACATACAGTTTGAACCATGGGATGGACATCAACTCAAGCCTCTTCTCTCAGCCAATGGAATTTATTTTTTTAATTTGTTATAGCTCCTCTGGCTTATGAGCCATTCTCTACTCTAGCCATGATATATGAGGACCAAGGTGACATGGAAAAATCATTGCAGTTTGAGTTGATTGCTGCGCATTTAAATCCCAGTGACACAGAAGAATGGGTTAGACTGGCAGAAATGTCTCTGGAACAAGACAATATTAAGCAGGCTATTTTTTGCTATACAAAAGGTAATTAAAATTTTTTTTTTTTTTCACTTTTACAAGCTGTTACATAATAGGTTTTTTGATCATTGTATTTGCTATTCTGGGGTGTGATATTGGCTGAGATAAATTTGTTTCTATTGTGTGTTGCTCTAGAGGTAAGTATTTGGGGTTCCTCTGTTCTCATGTTTATCAGGGACTTTTTGAATGTTGTGAGATAATACAACACGAAAGTTGGTAGATGAACAGTACCTTCAGTTTCTCACTAAGATCAGTGTTGGTTCTAAGCTGTTCCTTGAGGATTAACATCAGACTAGATTGACCACATTAAGAAGATTACTGTTGAGATTCAGATTCTATCTGCTCTTACATCAAACCTAGTCAAGAGTTCCTGTGAATATAGATTTATTCAGAATAACTCCCTTGGTTCCATTTGATGGATTAGTTTGCTTATTAAATTTTCTGAGATGATGGATCACACCCAGGTACCATGCACCCCTTTTTGTGGTAAATAATTTGTATTTCTTTCTTTTTAGCTCTTAAATATGAACCTACTAATGTCCGTTATCTGTGGGAGCGATCAAGCCTTTATGAACAGATGGGTGATCATAAAATGGCCATGGATGGTTATAGGCGTATTTTAAACCTTTTGTCTCCATCTGATGGCGAACGTTTTATGCAGCTGGCTAGAGATATGGCAAAGTAAGTTTGGAGTGAAACAGATCTACTTGCTCCTGTTAATCTTGTTTTGCAAATCAAAGCATATATTTGGAATAGAATGTACTTTTCATTGAAGTTCAAGAAGTGTTTTGCCTTATGTGTTTTATTGTTTTGTTTATTGAGACAGGGTCTTGCTCTGTCACCCAGGCTGGAGTATAATGGCATGTTTATAGTTCACTGCAGCCGTGAACTTCTGAGCTCAAGTGATCCTCTCACCCAGCCTCCCAAATAGCTGGGATTGTAGGTGCACGCCACCACACCCGGCTAATTTTTAATTTTTTTTTGTAGAGACAGGGTCTTGCTGTGTTGTTCAGGCTGGTCTCGAACTCCTGACCTCAAGCATTTCTTTTGCTTTGGCCTCCCAAAATGCTAGGATTACACATATGAGCCACCGTGCCCAGCCCTGTATTTTAGATTGTACCGAATTTTCAGTACTTTTCTGTTTCCAAGTCAACTGTGTCATTGCTTAGAAAATTGTGTATATAAGGTTACATTTCAAGTGCTCAGAGGCTTAAAAATGGGACATGTCCTAAAAGGAAGAGTAGGTTCTCAGGTTTCCAAACTTAGTCAAAAGTGTGTATATTTGCAATAATTAAAAAATTATTTTTTATTGCAGATGTGCCAGTGAAATGTTAATGATTTGGGATCTTCTATTATTTTATCTTGAGCCAGTATATAATATTTTAAGACTATAAAAATTCTCTTTTACAGTTGGCACATTATTGACTGTGGTATATATTTTATTCTAAAATATGCCCTACTGCATTTACTTCTCTGGTATGCTGCGCAGCAAAACAAAGTAGGAAACATTTTTGCTGAGTAATGCCTTGTGATATGCTTTCCATTCTAGAGATACCATATGATATTTTGTTCTAGGAGTAACCATCTCCATCAGGGTACATTAGGGGTGACCCTATTAATTCCATGGCCTTTATCACAATGATGCTTAGCTGTGAAACTGTCCCTTACCCTCCCAGGGGTGGGTTACATAGGACTACTAGAAAACATTTCTAGGAAATTTGTTGAGGCAAGGCAACCCTAAGTTGATCTCTGATGGAATACAATGAGCACTGAGGGTCTTCCCAGGTTATTTGCTGTTAGTTAAATCTATAGCTGTCACAGTGGTTAGTCCAGTAGCCTTTGACTTTGTGAAATGTTAGGTGGCCTATGATAGTAAATTGGTTTTCCACTTCTATTAGATATAATACTTTTTTGGGAAAGAGTGATGATTGTCAGTTCTGCCACTGCCATTGAGGTCTTTCCTATGTGGAATTCTATCACTGTAACTTCTGTTTAGGCTTTCCCTTTGGTCCCTGCTTTCCCTCCAGAAATATTATTGAATATATCTTTGGCACTAGGTACTATACAGGAGACCAGGGTATCCACTATTGAACAAGTTTTAAAAATCCCCTACTCTTGTAAAGCTTACATTTCAGTGGGAGACATAGGCAATAAATAAACAGCTAAATATATAGTACATCAGATGTTGATAAGTGATATGAAGAAAAACAAAGCAGGAAAAAGGGATAGGAATTTGAGGTATGTGGTGGGGGTGTGTTATTTTAAGATAGACTGGTTAGAGAAGGACATAATTCTCTGTATTATGGTCATACTGACTAAAGGTGAACTGAAGTAGGTACGAGAACAGATATTCAGGGAAGAGTATCACAGGTAAAGGAAACAGGAAGTGCAAAGTATGGTTAGGGAAGCTGAAGAATTAAGGGGAGCAGTGCAGAGAGGTATCAGGAATAGATCATTTAGCCCTTTTGGGCTATTGTAAGGGCTTTGGCTTTTATTCTGAATGAGTATGGAAGTCACTGGAAGATTTTGAGTAGAAAAGTGACATGGTCTGACTTAAATTTTAAGTGCATCAATTCTGGCTGCTCTTTTGAGAATAGATTGAACAGTGGAAGGGCAGAAGCATGGAGACCAGTTAGGAAATTACTGTAGTGATACATAGAAGGGAAAATGGTAACGTGGACCAGGATGGAAGCAGCAGGAACTGGTACGAAGTAATCAGATTATGTATGTATTTTGAAGGCTGAGCTCTCAAGATTTTCTGATGTATTGAATATGAGGGGTGGGTTGGGGAGGTGGACAGGGTATAGAGGACTGAACCCTAAGGCACTTCAATGTTTAGAAATCAGAAAGAAGAAGAAACAGCTGGGAGACTAAAAGAAAATGGCCAGTGAAGTAGCAGGAAACTGAGAACAGCATGATGTTCTAGAATTTAATTGAAGAAAGAACTTCAAGTAGGAGGGATGATCATCTGTGTGAGATATTGCAGATAGATCACGTAAAATGAGCACTGAGAATTGACAGATTTAGTAACAAGGAGATTGGAAATATTGGCAGAATGGGGAGAGGAAAAGTTGATTGGATTAGGTTAAAAAGAGAATGGAAAGAGGCATTGGAGACGGTATGGGGGATGGACAACTTTGGGGGAATTTGCAAGGGGAGCAGAGGAATGGGTTGTAGGGGTGGGAGAATTTTTTAAGTTGGGAAAAATTACCATTTATCTTTATTTAGATGGGAGTAATCAAAAATTGAGGGACACGTTGAAGATTTGTGAGGGAAGAGACAATTGCCTGAGCAATATCCTTAAGTAGATCATAGGGAATGGGATCAAACTAGGGGTTATTTTCATGTATACAATTATTTATCCTTGATAAAGGGGAAGGCAGATGATATGGCCAAAGATACTGGTAAGTAGGTAGATGTGCTGGAAATATGTGGGATGTTCTGATTTAATTCTCTTTTCTTGGTAAAAATGTCAAGCAAGGCCATCAACTGAGAGTGGGGACTGGGAGACTGCTGGAGGTTTGAAAAGAGAGAGATGTCAATAGTTGTCTAGGACATTACTGCCCCACAGACTGGCAGTATTTGTATCACCTGGAAGCTTGTCAGAAATGCAGGATCTCAGGCCTGCCCCAGCTCTACTGGATCCGAATATGCGTTTTTACAAGATAGCCAGTTGGTCCATAGGCTTATTTAGGTTTGAGAAGTACTGAAATAGGTAACTGTAGTAATACTGCTCATCAGTACCATGGACCTGCTTGAGGCTATTGGTCATCAGTTTAGAGTGAGACCAGTCAACATGGTCAGCTGGGCAGGTGGTGGTGAAGAGTAGATATAGTTGGATTTTAACCAGGCTTGGAGTTTTATTGAGTGATTTTGATCAAGAGAGTGCAGGGCAAGAGAACTGAGGATGTATGCAAAGGAATAGCTATAACGTTGGGCCATGGAGAAGGAAGAAAGTGAGCCCAGGCGGGGTGTAGGCAATAGTGAAAAAGTGGTAGGACCTATGCTTTGTAGATCTGTTGAGGTAGAAGAGTTGGTATTGGATTACATAGGGAATGAGCTGGAATGATAGGAGGTAGCATTTGGAGAGTGAGATGCTTGAAATTATGACACTGTTTTACTGACTTTGCACATTTTTTCTGGATCAGTTCTGATTACGATTTTAAGGAAATACACATTCCTCTCAAATTCTAAGAAAATGAAAATCACTGTTCATTGTTAGATAGCCTAAGCAAGGAAATGAGTTTTATAATTGGAATTAAGTAAATATTCATCCATTTTGCCACTTTTTTTTAGGAGTTACTATGAAGCCAATGATGTTACTTCTGCTATTAACATAATTGATGAAGCTTTCTCAAAACACCAGGGCCTAGTCTCCATGGAAGATGTTAACATAGCAGCTGAACTATATATTTCTAACAAACAGTATGACAAAGCTTTGGAGGTAGGAATGCTTATGTGTTTCTCTGTTAAGTTTTGCATGTGTTTCTGTGTTCTGGAAATTCTTAAAAATTGGCAGTTCTTCGTTTTAGTTAAATTATGTATATATTTAAAGTCTATATGGAAACAAGTGATTTCTAGATTCTGTAGCAATTCAGTATGAAATATGAAGTGTAGTTACATAATAAAAAATATTGCCATTGTCACAGGTGCTAAGTATGTACTTCAGGGTAGTAGGACTCAACAGTCAGATGAATTGCTGTGATTTAGTTCTTAAGCTGGTTGGGGGAAAGTAGGTTGGTTTGATATAAAGAAGTTATATACATTGAGTTTGCATTAGTTAATAGGATATTAAAATGTTAATGTGTCACAGGGTTTCTCATTTTTAAAAGACTCTTTCTTTTTATAGCCCAACTTTATATTAGGGATTATTTGAAATAACTGTACAAATCTTTGCATTATGAAATGGTTTTTCACACATATTTTATTTCCTTTCTTCTTTCCCATTCTTTTAGATAATTACAGATTTTTCTGGAATTGTGCTGGAAAAAAAAACTTCAGAAGAAGGCACCTCAGAAGAGAATAAAGGTTGTAGTTTCCTCTGCTTAGGAAAGTGTATATAATCCTCTCTTGGTCATAAGGTGGCGTTTTATGGTGAAAATTTATTTCATACTGTGGTGAGTTGATAGTTAATGTTCTCATAATAAGTTTTCCCAAGAAGCATTTTTTTCTCAGAGATTTCATATCTTGTGAGTATTGACTTACAAGTAATCTTTAAAAAAATTTGTTTTGAGTCCCTGTATGTCCATTTGAACATGGCATTTTTCATTGACAGTCTTTTTCATTCCTTTTTTTAGGAAAAAAAACGAATTACTGAAGTTTATCAAAAACTTTTAGCACTGAAGCAATTTACTTTTCAAATAGGACCTAAAATGCTCTTACTTAAAACATTTGACTTTAAGCTTAAGCATTCACATAATAAGTAGAAACTAATATGATTACCCTACATTGTTTGAAAACTCAAATATATAATTAGTGATCTGGTTAGAAAGTTATACCTAAGTGTGGCTTGCAGTCTCTTTGTACCATACTCATTAACCTATTCTGTAAAAATATTAACATTCAAGACCCTACATCAAGTTGTAGCAAAATTGATCTTTATGAGCAGAGTATATAACCCGGCTCTTGTAAGAGAATTCCTGTATAGTACCTTCAACCCCTACACTGTGAGGATTTTGATGGAATTTGTGGAAGGACCAAGTGAGTTGGTACTGAGTCCTGCCTGGTTCATAACAGCTCCTTCCGTGGCCTGTCATGATGCCTAAAAATTCCATCATTATGTAATCCTTTGGGCTAAGGCATCATTATTCAAAAACAAAAACTGTTACTTAAAACATGATCCATCCTAATGGTGAGCAGTAATTCACTTACACAAGCCAATCTGTGCTAATTCATAGAGAGTAAGGCCCAAGGTGAGATGTGGGACAGATAAATGTTGAAGTGGAAAGTTTTTGGGGAAGGGAAACCCAGTTCAGTAAGTTTCTTGTAAGGGACTGCTAGGTGTGTGGAGACTACGCAGATGAGTATGATATTTCCTGCTCTCAAGGAAGTGGAGGCGGGAAGAGGCGTTCAAATGAGGTGCATACAGTTTTAAGAGTTGTGTGATAATTTCTGTAGCAAAGTTGATGTTATGGGAAAATAGAGGAGAGCAGTATACAAGGATCAGAAGATGTTTATAGAGGCCCAATTTAAGCAGACACCCATGGGGAGTGTGATCCAGATTGAGTCACAGGGTGTAGGAGCACTGCTTGGAAGAGCAGGACCAGATCACAGGCTGTGGTTGGGGCTGTTGAGTCATCAGGGTGGTGTGAATGAGTAGAATAAGGAGTAGAAATTGTGGATGAAAGCATGGATTAGGGCATGTGAAGGAGGCTTTGCCAGTTTTGATACTTTACTAGGACCTGGCTTAGGCACGAGCCAAGGCCCAATGAAGTTATTATTTTACTGTCATAATTTCTGCTTAAGATTTTTCTTCTTAATTGTGTTGAAAATCTGTCCTTTGTTTGGAAAACTTGGTAGAGAAATACCAAGTTCTGTTCAAGTTTTAATTGTAGATATAATCATTTTGTTGTTTAATATATTTTACTTCCCTCCCTCCCTCCCTCCCTCCTTCCCTCCTTCCCTTCCTTCCTGGCACATATTAACATAAATCAACAACAGGTTAGAGTTTAAGTAGTGGCTTCTTTATTTTTTAGCATGTAAAATAACGGTGCATCTGAAATCTGGCAGCTTAGTGTTGATGAAATAACTTTAAAGAAAAAGATATGTCCAGAAGACTAGGAGATTAAAACAGATACAAAGTGAGCAAAGGTAGTTTTTTAGTATGCATTTTAAAAAATGAGACCATTTATGGTAGATTATGTATTGTCTATTGACAGTCACATTTTTAAATTCTTCTGAATGTGAAAGACCTAATGGGAGTTCAGGAGAATAAAGTATCAGTGACACAAAGACAAGCTTTTTAAAAGATAGTGTATGTTAAATGTTAGTTAATAATATATAAGCTGTAGGGGCTATAAATATATATACTGCTTTCCTTAGCATTGTCAAGTTGCCATTAAAGTATCTAAATACTTACTCTCAATCTCCATACTTACCTGATTGAACTGGTAACAGTTTGTTTACCTGCACAGGTCCCAGACTAGTTTGAGTAGCACTGCCCTGTAGCATTATGAAGTGACCTCCTTACCTTTTTAAATATAGTTGGTCTGAATTCTACATTGTCTCATATTGAGATTGTGACACCTATTTTTTTTTTTTGTTTGCACCTGCCTGCTATACCTTTGTCCTTTTATTTTCAGCTTTCCTGAATCACTTGATTTTAGGTATACATCTTGCATTCAACATAAGGTTGAGTTTTACTTTGTGATTTGATATGAAAGCAGGGTTTTTGACCTATGCATCTATACACACTATATTTTTAAGGCCTATGCCGAGATATAAAGTATTTCATATACTATAATTTTCTTGCTGAAAGTTAAAACACGTAGATATATTTTATTGAACAGTGTCTTAGTCCGTTTGGACTCTCTAACAAAAGACCTTAGACTGGGTAATGTATAAACAACAGAAATTTATTGCTCACAGTTCTGGAGATTAGGAAGTCCAGGGCACCAGCAGATTTGGTGTCTGGTGAGGGCCCTTTTCTCATAGATGGTGCCTTCTTGCTGTGTCCTCACGTGGCAAAAGGGACAAACAAGCTTCTTCAGACCTCTTTTACAAGGGCACAAATCCCACCCACATAGGCACCTCCCAAGACCCACCTCTTAATAACCTTGGGCATTAGGTATCAACACAGGTATTTTGGTGGGACACCAACATTTCAGACTGTTAGCAAACAGCATTTCTAGAATGAAAATCAAAGTGATACAGTTGGAATGTAGAACCCATACATGATAAAGATAGAATCAGATTTTAGTAAAGAAAAAGGCTCATTAAAATGACTGCATTGTGTTTAGTCCTTACTCAGACAGGTGACTTTAGCTACTGTCTACAGAAGAAATGTGCTGTGGATACAGCCTTGAGTCAGACATGGTTCTTGTCCTCATGGAGCTCAGGGCTTAGTGTGAGTAAATTTACATGGTAGGTAAATTCTGCTCTCTCGTTGAGCAGACTAAATATATTAATTGGATTTCTGATACCAGTTATTGGCTTAGAGCTCAGTGATAAAAACAGTCTCTTAATTAAACTTGTCCGAATCCTCCTATAACTTGGTAATTTTAGGCAATATAGTCTCCCCTCAGTGTTCATGAGAGATTGGCTCCAGGACACCCCTCATACCAAAATCCTTGGATACTCAAATCCCTTATATAAAATAGTGTATTATTTGCATATAACTTATGTACCTTCTCCTGTATACTTTAAATCATCTCTAGATTACTTATAATATTAATGGTAAAACCACAATTACTTCTGCACCAACCTAATAATACAATGTAAATGCTATGTAAATAGCTGTTAAACTGTATTGCTTCTTAAGTTTGTATTATTTAATTTTATATATATATATATATATATATATATATATTTTTTTTTTTTTTTTCCCCTTAACATTTTTGATCTGCAGTTCATTGAATCTGCATATGTGGAACCTGAAGGTATGGAAGACTGTCATAATTTATATGACAAGTTCTGTAAAACAGATAGTTATTTAATTCTTGAATAATTTTTTATTTCACCACTTAGGATACATCTGTGATGTCCTCTATACTTCAGGTTTTTCTGAAACGAAAACATGTAAACTTATTTGGAATTTATTAGACTTTGCAAACTACTTTAAATGTGGATAAAAATTCCTGTAATTTCCCAGGGCTTTAAAAATTATTTTGTTGTAATGAGGTTTTAGAAAATAACACAGTATTATTTTATCCTTTTCTTAGCCTGTTTCTAGTGAACACTAAAAAGAGACTTTTCAATTCAAGAAAAAAAAGAGAGAGGGTTCATATATCCTCATTATTTTTGTCTTTTTAGTTCTCCGTAGTTTAGTAGAAGGTGTGAAAGTAAGTTTTGGATAAGTACATAAGGTATTAGAAATCGAATAGGAAGCATACTTGCTACCAAAGGACAGACTGAGAGAGATATAAGAACTTATTAATAGAGTTGGCCACACTAAGAATTGACTGTGGAATCATTTGCTTTGAATGAAATAAATGAGATCTTACATAGAAGATACACATCTCAAGCTTGCATATAGTAACTGCTTCTTGTCTGTGTATTCTCCAGCTCCTGAGAATGTTACCTGCACTATACCTGATGGCGTGCCAATAGATATCACAGTGAAGTTGATGGTCTGCCTTGTACATCTCAACATTCTTGAACCACTTAATGTATGTAACAAGATCTGCACTTGAGATACTTCAGATCAAATGCACCATCTCTTTTCTTTAGATGTCAAGAAATTATAACTTGACCCTAGAGTTTCACATTTCTTAATAACCAAGGAGGTAACAATAAGCATCAAATAATTTTGTATGAATATCTTATAAAAACTAAAATTGTTTTGCAATTGGGCTTACAGTAATTTATTTTTCTTTTAAAATAACAATCTAAAGATCATAATTTGAGATTGTCTTTAGACCATTTGAGATTGTCATTAGATAATTGGTAATAATTCTGACAGCTATTCTTTTTTGCGGACTTTGGACCAAGTATATTATTGAAAAAAAAAAAGTACTTAGCATCTACTTTGTAAACCTTAGGATAAGATATTGAGTAAAATATACAAATCCATACCCTCATGGGTTGGGATGCTTTTTTGTTTTAATGGGATTAGATAATAAAATAAATACATAACATATACGGGACATTGGCTGGTGATAAGTGTTCTGGAAAAAAAAGGAGGAAAATAAGGAATATTGGGGGCAGGGGAAAGTTGCAGTTTTCAATAGGGGATCAGGTGACATTTGGCTGGGCACCATGGTGCACACTTATAATCCCAGCACTTTGGGAGGCTGAGGCGGGCAGATCTCTTGAGCTCAGGAGTTCAAGACCAGCCTGGGCAACATGGTGAAACCCTACGCCTACAAAAAATACAAAAAATTTAGCTGGGTGTGGTGGCGCACACCTGTAGTGCCAGCTACTTGGGAGGTAAGGTGGGAGGATTGCTTGAGCCCAGGAGGTAGAGACTGCAGACCCTGTCTCAAAAACAAACAAACAAGGTGACATTTGAATAATGACCTGAAGGAGGTGAGGAAGTAAACCATGGGGATATCTAAGGAAACAACTTTCCAAAAACATTAGCAAACACAGAAGCCCTGAGGCACAAGACGTTGTGCTGGTTAGACGAAGAGCAAAACAGATGAGCTGTGTCTTAGTTCCTGCAATGCCTGTCTTTAAACAGATCCACAAAATGTGTTCACTGGGTATGAGTTATTTAAAATAAAGATGGCAGAAGTGAACAGAAAAATGACCATATAACGCTGTTTTTATTAAGCCTTGCTCCTTTTCAGCTTGCCTCTTATAACTGATATGTAGGTTAAAAAGAGAGCTATAGACTTTGGGAGGCCGAGGAGGGTAGATCACTTGAGGCCAGGAGTTTGAGACTAGCCTGGCCAACATGGTGAAACCTTGTCTCTACTAAACATACAAAAATTAGCTGGGCCTGGTGGTATGCACCTGTAATCCCAGCTACTCAGGAAGCTAAGGCACGAGAATCACTTGAACCCAGCAAGCAGAGGTTGCAGTGAGCCAAGATTGTGCCACTGCACTCCAGCGTGGGTGACAGGGAGAGACTTCATCTCAAAAAAAAAAAAAAAGCTATAGATAGATGTGCACGTTTGTAATGAATGTTTAACTTGGGGCTTTTATTTGTGGTCTAGCCTCTCTTGACAACACTAGTAGAACAGAATCCTGAAGATATGGGAGACCTATACCTAGATGTTGCTGAAGCTTTTCTGGATGTTGGTGAATATAATTCTGCACTTCCCCTCCTCAGTGCTCTTGTTTGCTCTGAAAGATACAACCTTGCAGTAGTTTGGCTTCGTCATGCAGGTAACACTTTTTTGTGGGAGGAAGAAGTTTTAATCATATAAGCAGCCAAGAACTTACTTTCCCAAGATGGTAATAATTATTATAGTGCAAGTGTTTCTGGTTTCAGGGGAGTTTTTTGAAAGTCAGTATTTTAAATTGTCTTGCTAGGCTACTAAGTGATTTCCCCATCACTAATGCTTTGGAGGAATGATTTACTTAATGATGCCAGAGTGAAGTTGAAGGACTCACATTTCCCTTAGATGCCTGTCTTGAACCTCTCTTAACCATAGGGTCTGGTTTCTAGCAAAGGATTGTCAGACTTGGGGCAAAATCTAATTTTGAAGAGTTTTTATAGATTTATATTTAATATGTTATATTGGGAAAAATTAATATATTTTTCAATGCTCTTTGAGCCACACATACTCAAAATTGGGTTTTATCAGCCGTTTATTACACTGTGCCTAAGTCCATAGTAATCTGCAGTGAATCATTTAGACTGGAAAAAATAGCTTAAGAAACATGACTAAATCTTTTGAAGAAATACATGAAAGCAAAAAGTATTCTAATAGGATTTCTTATAGAGTCAACATAAAAGATGCATTAAAAATCGAATAGTCTTGGTTTCAAATACTGTGTGATGGCAGAAAACTCTAGTGGCTCTTACATGAAAGCAAAAAGTATTCTAATAGGGTTTCTTATTGAGTCAACATAAAAGACGCATTAAAGATCGAATAGTCTTGGTTTCAAATACTATGTGATGGCAGAAAACTAATGGCTCTTAAGTATTATATGATGACAGAACTCTATAATTAGAGAAGCATTGATTGGCATTTTGGGGCAGTAGTGCACTCACATCACAGATATGAGCTAGGAAAGAGAGCACTTAATGATTAAGATAACACTTTTCTGTTTAGATGAATAAATATGAATACAAATGTAATACCATCGTAAAAAGCTGCATTATTTGTGAGATTTGAATTTTAAAGATATGAGCAGGATATCTTAGTTTGTATTGCCTTTCTACTTAGGGCTGTGATATTGAAACTGCTCCTGTGTTACTAATAGTGTATACTTTAAAAATCCTATTTAATCATGATTCTGATCAATGCTGTTTCCATTTTGAGCCCATGTGGCTTGAGATGAATGAAAGATAAAATCTCAGAGTCATCTAAAAATGATAAAGAAATTTGGGATCAGTATATAAGAAAGATAATTAGAGGAATTCAGTTATTTCAGTAACAAAATAACAAAATGTTTTTAAAGTGAAAAATGAGAAAATGTAAGAAATGTCACTGTGATGATCCATCCATATTAATGTTCTTCCTTTATTATCAAAATTTAACCTAAAGATGATGGTCAGGAGAGATTTGAAAAAGCAACTGGAGGTAAAAATACTTAGGAGATACAGTGCAGCGAAAAGGATGGAAAGAAGAAATGCTCACAGAGACTTGTTTTCACGTTCAAATGATCGCATGTATTGATTGATTGATTGACTGATTGGGTGTAAAGTTTGAGAAATAGGGCCCAGTAACCTCACTCTGAGAACTTATACTCAGGAACTAATTGAGTGGGATGAGAGGAGGTAGTTTCTATTGGGGATCACAAAACTTGGGAGCCTGGCAGGTAACAAAAATGAGTGAAGTGAGAGAGAGAGAATACTAGGGAGAGGTGGAAACTGAGGAGGCCTTTCTAAAGGGCACTTTCTCTGCATGGACTGATGTGTCATGTGGGAATGGGGCACCCACTGTGGCCAAATACAGAACTTTCAAAAGAATCCAATACCCTGGATTTTATTAAAATCCTAATTTTAAGAAATGTAGGATGTTAATAGTTTTTAAAAGCACTGTGAGCTAATAAAACATACCTGTGGGTTACACTGGTCTGCCGATTGTGTGCTCTGGTTTATATATGTGAAGATGTTTACTGCAGTATTATTTATTAGAGTAAAAATTTGAAAGCAACCTAAATGGCAAATGATATAATTACATAATCAGTTTGATTATGTAACCATTCAAAATGCCAATGAAGACAGTGTTTAAAATGTAATGCTCAATGAATAAAGCAGAACCCTAAATTATATGTATACACTGATTACTCCTTAGCAATTTAAATTTATTAGATCGATTGATTAATAGAGATTAGGGATAGTTTTAAAGTACTAGAAATACGCATTCATTTCTTGTTATAATTTTTTATATTGCTATATTTCTTTTAAAATGGAAGAGTAATTGTGGCCAGTTTACAAATCTGTAGTTCATACTTTTGCTTTATTTTAACATCATCTTAGAATGTTTAAAGGCCTTAGGCTATATGGAGCGAGCTGCTGAAAGCTATGGCAAGGTGGTTGATCTGGCCCCACTCCATTTGGATGCAAGGATTTCACTTTCTACCCTTCAGCAGCAGCTGGGCCAGCCTGAGAAAGCTCTGGAAGCTCTGGAACCAATGTATGATCCAGATACTTTAGCACAGGATGCAAATGCTGCACAGCAGGTGGGCCATGTCACATAGAGGGAAGTTTTTCTTGGTATATTATATTTTAGAACTTTCTCCTCCATTAAGGATGTCTCTATAGCTTATATCCAAAATTTTATTTTAGTGTATTCAAGTTTTTGAAAAATGATTTTAAGTATTGGATTTCAGCCACTGGTTGGGTTACAAATTATAGTTTTAAAATATTGGCTCTTAATTATTGTGAAAGACCATAAAGCAATATGGTTTGTTTTTTTAAAAATGTTTCTATGCAAATAAAACAATTTGTAGAAAAGGAATCTTGTTAGGCTCATCATCATGTGCTTATTTGTTTAGGAACTGAAGTTATTGCTTCATCGTTCTACTCTGTTGTTTTCACAAGGCAAAATGTATGGTTATGTGGATACCTTACTTACTATGTTAGCCATGCTTTTAAAGGTGGGTAATGATCTTTCTTTATGTTAGCCTTGTTGACTTTTTAAATGTTTAGTATTTCATTTAAACATAGATTATACTACTTTATAATTGTTTTTCTTCATTAAACTCAAACTTTTAAAAATGAAAGATAAAAACAAAAAAGCTAGAGGTTATTGGTATATGACTGAAAGTTCTTGACAGTAGCTTAAGTGAAAATCTTCCCTAGTACATATTTAGAAAAGTGAGCACCATGGTCTATCAGATATTGGCCCTGTGGACAGTACTATGTGCCAAAATTACTCACTTTGCAAAAGTATTTTCCAGATCTAATATTCTTTCCGAGTCCAGCTTATTTGCAGGGAGGTAGCTCTGTGGGTGTATCTCTGGGGATGTGTGTATATGCATGTTATAATGTTAACGTGAATTGCCTTTTTTCTTTCTGAGGTGAGGAATGTGACCCAAAATTCCTTTGGTAAGAGAAAAATAAGTCAGTTCATTCTAATTTTAGTTTTTTAATATAGTAATTTGGTTTCCTTTTTTCTTACTAAGGGAGCTTTCAGTCTTGTGGCACCTGTGACCCATAGGTTTTCTTTAAAAAATTATTGTTTAGAGCTGGGTATGGTGGCATGTGCCTGTGGTCCCAGCTACTTGCGAGGCTAAGGTGAGAGGATCACTTGAGCTTAGGAGTTCAAATCCAGCCTGAGCCAACATAACAAGACTTTGTCTCTAAACAAAACAGTTATTGTTTAAAGAATCTGAAATCTTCATCTTTAATTCAGGTAGCAATGAATCGAGCCCAAGTTTGTTTGATATCCAGTTCCAAGTCTGGAGAGAGGCATCTTTATCTTATTAAAGTATCGAGAGACAAAATATCAGACAGCAATGACCAAGAGTCAGCAAATTGTGATGCAAAAGGTAATAACTTCATTTGCATTATGTTATATAAAATTTGGCTGAATTGAAAAAGACTCATGAAGTAACACTGGACAGCAATCTAATTGAAAATATACTTTTCAAATAAAATGAAATTTTCCAATCTAAATCTCTCAAGTGTAATAAACTCATTCGATGTTAAAAAGGAAAGGCTAAATGTAAATACTTTAAATTAAAAAAAATTAAAAGGAAAGCATCTGCTTGGATCTGTGAAAGAAGTAAAACAAAACTTTGACTTTTTAAAAAGAAAATATATTTTAAGAAATTTGTGAAGATTAGATGACAGTATAGATGATTTGTCCAGACTTCACTTATATATATTCCATTCTCTATGAAATAATTTTTAACAAATGTAGCAATAGTCATAGAAACTCTTTGAAAATAAGTTGCTGTGACCTAGTCTCAAGTAATATAACTTTAAAAGACTACAGATTCTACCTCTGCAGCTTGTGTTTTTAACCATGTTTCCTTATGTTGTATTTTTCTCCCTGTGTGATCTGCCTGTTTTCTTTCAGTGATTCCTCACTGGAGGTCCATGGTTAGTTTTTCTTAGGCTCATAAGGTTTTGTTGTTTTGTTTTGTAAATTTTATCATGGTGAGGATCACATTACACTGGTGTACCAGGATAGGATGAACTAAGCCTTTTTATGTTACATGCAACTTTGTACTGTGATCTTTTCACTTTACATTTTCTCATAGACATTTTATCATGTTGCTCTGTTCTCTTCATAGTTATATTTAAGGAATGTGTAGTATTCCATTGGATAGTGGTTCCATAATTTAATCATTTTCTTATTTTTTGGCATATGGTCACTTTTGGCAGTTTTATAAGCAGTAATGTAGTAAGCATTTTCATACATACAGATTTGTCCATATTTTGTTTAGGATAGATTCTCAGAAGGAAAATTATTGGATCAAAGACAGTAAAATTTTTTATGGCTTTTGATATTCCTTAAGGGCTATCAAAGGGAGGCTTTTTACAGAGAACTAAGGAAGAGAAGGAGGTTGTTAAAGAGACTTGAGATCAGAAAAAGATCAAGAACAACTTGAATCTCAAAGTATGAATTTGAAGTATTTTGCTGAGCAAACATTTGAATGCCTGTATGTACGTAATCCTCTATCACTGGGGTCCCCAACCCCGGTACCAGCCCGTGGCCTGCTAGGGACTGGGCCGCACAGCAGGAGGTGAGCAGTGGGTGGGCAAGCGACCATTCCCACCTGAGCTTCCCCTCCTGTCAGATCAGCAGCAGCGTTAGATTCTCATAGGAGTGCAAACCCTATTGTAAACTGCCCATGCGAGGGATCTAGGTTGCACGCTCCTTATGAGAATTGAATGCCTGATGATCTGTCACTGTCTCCCATCACCCCCAGATGGTACTGTCTAGTTGCAGGAAAACAAGCTCAGGGCTCCCACTGATTCTACATTATGGTGAGTTGTACAATTATTTCATTATATATTACAACAATAATAATGGAAATAAAGTGCACAATAAATGTAATGTGCTTGAATTATCCTGAAACCATCCTTCTTAGCCCTGGCCCATGGAAAAATTGCCTTGCATGAAACTGGTCCTTGGTGCCAAAAAGGTTGGGGACTGCTTCCCTATGGGATTACAGTCATAGAAAGTATACTTGTTCTACCCTGGAGGAGATATATCTTAGCTAGCAAGGAGAAATGCAGATGGAACTAGCTGGAACTTGTAGAGACCAAGTCCGAATCAGGTGCCTGGGAATGCAGATTGTTAAACTGGCAGAGAAGAAGCGGATAGTATTGAAGGAGTGTAAGCAAGCAACTACCCCTTCTCATCTTTGTCCGGAGAGCACTGGCAACAATTTAGGCTCATGGTTATTAAACTTGTCTTAAAATTGATGATGTGAATTTTTCTAATACTGCTATTTCTGGAAATACAGTGTCCTAACTGGTTTTCATTGGTCTCATTTTAGCAATATTTGCTGTGCTCACAAGCGTCTTGACAAAGGATGACTGGTGGAATCTTCTGTTGAAGGCCATATACTCCTTATGTGACCTATCCCGATTTCAAGAGGCTGAGTTGCTTGTAGATTCCTCATTGGAATATTACTCATTTTATGATGACAGGCAAAAACGCAAAGAACTAGAATACTTTGGTCTGTCTGCTGCAATTCTGGACAAAAATTTCAGAAAGGCATACAACTATATCAGGTGATTTCCCAGTTATTTATTTTAATTAGATTCTTTAATAGAGTAAGTACATGTACTTTGATTTAGAAGCTACTTTACTTTTGGCTCTCCCATTAAACAATAAACTGGTTAATTGGTGATTCCCAGAGGCAGTATATAAGAAGATGCACTCTAGGACCAGACTTTCTGGGTTCAAATCCCAGCCCTGACGCCTACTGGCTGCGTGACCTTAGGCTAGTTAGGTAATCTCTAGTGCCACAGTCTTCCCACTTATAAAAGGATATCATAATACTGCCATCTCATAGGGTTATGATGAAGGTTAAAGGAGTTGTTATGCCTTTTTAATAATGCCTGGCAATTATTATTATTATAATTATTATTATTATTTGAGATGGAGTTTTGCTCCTATTGCCCAGGCTGGAGTGCAATGACACAGTCTCGGCTCACCGCAACCTCCGCCTCCCAGGTTCAAGCGATTCTCCTGCCTCAGCCTCCCAAGTAGCTGGGATTACAGGCGTGTGCCACCAGGCCCAGCTCATTTTGTATTTTTAGTAGAGACGGGGTTTCTCCATGTTGGTCAGGCTGGTCTCCAACTCCCGACCTCAGGTGCCTCAGCCTCCCAAATTGCTGGGATTACAGGCGTGAGCCACGGTGCCCGGCCAATGCCTGGCAAATATTATGAATTGTTATTCGGTACTGCAGCTATAGTGGGCAAGGAGAGAAAAAGTGAAACCTAAACCACTTGCTCCTGTTTTAGTTTAAAAGTTTTGTTGAAAGTAGAAATAAGATATAGAAACACTAACTTAAGCAACATTTTCTGGGAAAAATCTTTTATTGCGTAGGAGAGTTTTGCTTTAAATAGATTGAAACTATCTGCTTTTCCTTGTTGGAGGATGGTACATTTCAGTGCTGGTAGGACAGCACTGAAGGGTTTCATTTTTAGAAATCAGGAAGATTTTTACATTATTTTCTCCCTCACCCTCTTCCTGCAATTTTAGGATAATGGTAATGGAAAATGTCAATAAACCCCAGCTCTGGAACATTTTCAATCAAGTTACCATGCACTCCCAAGATGTACGACATCATCGCTTCTGTCTCCGTTTGATGCTGAAAAACCCAGAAAATCATGCCCTATGTGTCTTAAATGGACACAATGCATTTGTATCTGGTAGTTTTAAGCATGCGCTTGGTAAGTGTCCTGGCACGTGACTTTGTCAAGCATAAATAGTGTGGTGAAGAGCCTAGCCTCTGGATTGGAACTGTCTGGGTTAATTATCAGCCTCACTGTGACAAATTATTCTACCTCCTCCTGCCTCAGTTTCTTGATCTCTAAAATGGAGATAATAATTGGACCTACTTTGTAGATAATTGTGAAAATTAAATGAATCAATATAAAGAACTTAAAACAGTGCCTGGCACATATAGTAAGTGGATATAATAGCAAAAATGATAATTACTAATATTAATATTTGTTATTCTTACTAAGCTTTGGTTGTAAAAGGCTGACACAGGTCTTATAAAATTCATTTTAACGGTCAACAATTCTCCCTGCTTAGGCCTATTTATTTTTAAAATGATTTTCATTAATTATGGATGCTTTTGCCACCTGATTTTAATTTGCCATAATGCAAAACATTCAAGATTTGCTGAAAGTTCATTCCTTCAGGAGCTAAATCTATATTAAGATTTATTTATGTGGTGGTTACTAATTCTAATTAAACTCAAGGAAACTTCATTAATCATTTATAATAAGGAATTTCTGTAATAAGGAATCAGAAGTAAACAAGTATTACTTGCAGAGTCTCCTTTTAAAAAAAAATTAAAGAAGAAGCAAACAAGTAGAAAAACATCTAACTAACTAAATGTTTAAACTTAAAATTAGGCATGCATGTCTTACTACCTAAAAGGTGGTGTTGCCAGATTTACTTCTTATGAGTAAACTATGGTTTTTGGCTATTTGATACGTTCATGATTCCTTGTATATGGCCCGTATTTTTATCATCGTTCATCCAGTAACCTCAAACATCAGATGTTGAAACATTCCTCTTTTGTGTGTGCTTTGTGGAATTGTTTTATATTAAGAAAATAAAAATATTTTATTTTCCTATATTAGAAACTTTTACAAAAGGTTAAAATGATAGACAAATGGCAGTCTACCATCTTTGCTGCCTAAGAGATTCTGTGGTGCCATTCCTTCCAAAATAGAAGCCAGAAGGAAGAGAAATTTTCATCTATATGTGATACATTATATGTTATTCCTTTATGAGAAAAACTTGCTTAAATACCCCTACTGCATATGATTAGGCTTTTGACAAGAGATGATTGTATATATGGAATACATGTAATTCATAAAACTCCAAATTCTTATTCTGTTATTGGATACATTTAGCTTTCTCAGAAAAAACAAATAATTGCTACATTTGGGAAAACAACACCTGTAGTCTAAAAAACAAAACAAAGCTTTCCTCTTCTCACCTCCATGATCCACCACATTTGAATTTATAAAACAGATCAGTTGATTCTATAAAAATGTTCACCAAAACACACCTCCTCCATTCTTTTCAAACTAGATTTAAGGTCATAAAATAGATTTAATGATTGCAGCTGATAAATTGTTTATTTTGGAAGTATTACTTTACATGGAAATGTCTAGCTGTGCCTAGAAAAAGTTAATTTAGTTCCTCATATGAATCTTCATGGTCAGCATACATTCATGGGGAACTTGTTTTATTTTATACATTGTTTTAAAATTCAAATTAATAGGTCTCTGGTTGCTATTTAAGATAGAATGTCCACCTTATGTATGTTAAAATCAGTAATGTTTGGCCTTAAAAGTGTTGAAGAAATAAATAACTCTGTTCTTGTCACACCGTCTGACACCACTGCTTATTTTCCAGGACAGTATGTGCAAGCCTTTCGCACTCACCCTGACGAACCTCTCTATAGCTTCTGTATAGGCCTAACCTTTATTCATATGGCATCTCAGAAGTATGTGTTACGGAGACATGCTCTTATTGTACAGGTAATTCATTCAAATTTCTCGTTACTTGATTTTATGTTTCTTAAAAATGAATATACTTAATACTTTTTTTAAAAATCCTGCTTCAAAAGTAATACACAATGCTCTCAGTACACATGACGGGGGTCCCCAACACTTACCCCAGTGTTCAGCACTCAGCATATAATTATACTCATGATTAAGACTTATTACAGCGATATAGTAAAGGTACACAGCCAGATCTTTAGGGACAAAGACACAGGCAGAATCTGGAGGAATGCACTGGCAGGCTTCCTTATAGTCTGGTCCTCAAGGTCTCTAACCATCTGAGGTACTGAAGATTCACTTAAAGTAGTTGAAAAAAAAAATTATACAATAATATGATTGTGCCTGTTTCCTTACACCATCACCAACAAACTGTCCTTTTAAAATTTTCTTTGTGGTTCTTATAATAATTTGAAATTATGTTTCTTGTTGTCTACCTTAATGGCTTGTCTCTTCTAATAAAAGTATAAAGTCCAGCAGATCAGAAATATTGTTCACTACTTTGCCTTCAGCATTTTCATTTCTGTGACTTCATTTTTGTATGTTTGATGTTTCCAAAATATGATATGGTATAGACATGTCTTTTATTAAGTAGTAGGTGAGAAAAGAAAGAAAATGTTGACTTGAATGGAGTTGCAGGGTCTAGTAAGGGGCTTTTTGTTTCTTTTAAAGTAAAATGGTTAAAATAAAGCCTGCATTAAAATGGTGATAACAGTTGAAACTAGGTATGAGTTCATTAAGGTGGTCTCTTTACTGTTGTATATTTGAAAATTTCTATAATAAGTTTTTTAAAAATCCTGAAAAACAAAAACTTCTAAATTTTTCCTTTTTTATATTCTTATCTACCTTTTCCTCAAAGCTTCTTTTTCTTCCTTAATGGATACTATTTGCTGTACTAAGTAATGTAGGATTGTGTATAAATTAAACGTAGTGCTCATTGTGTGCCAGGAATCGGGGACGTAGCAGTGAGTAAGTACACAGATGGAATTTCTTGCCCTCATAAAATTCTGGTAAAAATTGATAGGAAAATTTTATGGATTAACTCATTAAATATGTAAAATATGTAGTTTTTGGGCTTGGTAGGACAAAAATTCATGTACTTCAAAGTAATATGGAAGCTAAATTTCAAATTACTTTTATAGTTAAATAGGAGGTTTCAAGTGGTTGGAGGTAGAGATGAAACAAGAGGTAATGAGAATATGGAAGTTCATTGGACTAATCTCTTTTGTGTATGTTAAACATTTTCCATAAAAAAAGTTTCTGAGAAGCAGGTTTTATTGTAAATAGCATCATTTCTGAAACTTTTAATTTCTCTTATTTTTCTTTCTTCTTGCTACAAGACTATAGTTTTCTATTATACTACCTAAAAAAATTTTTTTTATGGTTTATTATCTTTCTTACCTTTATATTGTATTAAAAGTAAAATCGTCAATGTTTCATTACTTCTACTTTTATTTAATATTGTATAGACAGTGAGTACATTGGGCCCTTTAGTGATTAATTTGATTTAAATGTTTGAAATGTAACATAATGTCAAAAGAACTCTTTTCTTTTCAATTTAAACTGTGTGTTTTTGGCGAGGCACAGTGGCTTACACCTGTAATCCCTGCACTTTGGGTGGCCGAGGCGGGTGGATCACTTGAGGTGTCAGGAGTTTGAGACCAGCCTGGCCAATATGGTGAAACATGGTCTTAATAAAAATACAAAAATGAGCCAGGTGTGGTGGCGTGTGCCTGTAATCCCAGCTACTCGGGAGGCTGAGGCAGGAGAGTCGCTTGAACCCAGGAGGTGGAGGTTGCAATGAGCTGAGATCACACCACTGCACTCCTGTGTGATAGAGCAAGACTCCATTTGGGAGAACAGAACAGAATAGAACAATAGAATTTGTTTTGCAGTTTTTAAATTTGATAATTCACAGTACCTACAAAGTGGCTACCCACATTGGCTAGTTTTTAAATCACTAAATATTATTTGAATAGTCTTTCAGGTTATCCTCTTAAATTTGTTAAACATTTCTTAAAGGGCAGCAAGTTATTCCATTATTGTATTAGGGGACCTACAGGTTCATTTGCATTACAACAATTCATCTGAGATTACTATTCCTTTTTCCTCATATTTTTATCTTTAAATTTGTCATTTTTAACTATGAATACTTGATATTTCTTTGCAGTCGAATAGTCTGCTGGTACTTAAGAGAGCTGTGTCTTTCAGTGGAATAGAGGTCATAGTCACACAAATAGGTTATTTTATTATGCAGAAAGTATGATTTGTATACTGAACACGAGTATTACTACCCCTAAAATGCATTCATTTAAAATAATTCATTTTTATTATTTACCTATTTATAAAGGAAAATTTGTGACCACTTATTATATAGCAGATCATCTAGAGAATAATTACATTTTATATTCTATATTCATAAATTGATTTATTCTTAATTATCTGGTAATATATTTGATTACTTAATTAGGACTCAGACCTTTGCAATTTGTAATTTCAGTGAATGATAAAAGCTGAAGCTCTATTAAAAGGGAAAGTGAATATGGGAAGAGGTAAAGAAACAAGTTGCTTTTTGGACTGTGTGACCCACAGGGAGCCAGCGTCATTGTAGCTGTGCTCTGAAATAGTTTCTCCATAGTCTTTGAGTCAGAAGCTTTCAGGAGAAAAAAATCCAGTTTTTTTGGGTTAAGAGGTTATCAAGGTCCTGAGAAGTAACTTATAAAAGGTAAAATTTACCCTAAAAGGTTAAGTATACTCAAGTGAATTTGCTCCTGAGAGGAAACCTTTGTACATTATCATTATTTTATATCTTGCTCAATCTTTTAGGCGTCAATCTCACATCAAAAAGTTTATTGGCCTATAACGGCACAAGCCAACTTCAAATTATTTTTTAAAAGTTTTGTGTATTTGTAGATTATGAATCTCTGGTAACTACTTGTAACATTTGGCTCTGTTTTCTGTGAATATTTATCCCTAGCTAAAAAAAATTCTTACATCTTCAGAAGAGCTATAATGTTGACACCTAACTACACTGTAATACTACACAGTAATAGGACACTAAGCAGATAGATAGGTTTTTAAAAAATATTTGTATTTTCAGCACCTGGTAATACAGTGGTCTAGTACATAATTGTCAAATCAGTGAAATATTGAATTATCTTTTTCTTTTTGGTTAGGGCTTTTCCTTTCTTAATCGATACCTCAGTTTACGTGGGCCCTGCCAGGAATCATTCTACAATTTGGGCCGTGGCCTTCATCAGTTGGGGCTGATTCATCTTGCAATCCACTATTATCAGAAGGCCCTGGAGCTCCCTCCACTTGTGGTAGAGGTATTGTGCATTTTTAAAACTGAGACACTTCATTTCATCTGTCTGTAGATAAGGGCAGTTAGCTAAGTCCAGCCAGTAAATTATAGCTCGTATATTAAAATGTATTTTCTCTTATTCAGTATGTTTACGTAATTATGTTCAGGAACAGGTACCACTTCGACATCTGAGCCTTATGACTTGACCAGCAACCATATGAACATATACAGCTTGTGGCTGTGAGCATTTTAGTTTCCAGGGTAGTTCCTGTGCTTTACAGACAGGAACTGGTAGACGTAACCTCTGAATAGTGAAGAATATTGTGACTGTTTCCAAGTGTAATTCACATGTTTCTTTATAAAGATGAAAGACCAGTATTAATGTAGCTTTTTTTTAAGATAGGGTAAAGTGTTGCCAATACTATGATGATCTGTGTTTAAAGTCTGATTTTTATTTTAAATCCTGAAATATGTTAATTTTTAAATGTATTTTAACATAGCACTGTATTAGAAACAAACTTTTAAAACTCATAATCCCTCCTGTACTCCCTCACAATTTTTTTTTTTTTTTTTTTTTTTGGAGACAGAGTCTTGCTCTGTGGCCCAGGCTGGAGTGCAGTGGCACGATCTTGGCTCACTGCAAGCTCCGCCTCCCGGGTTCACGCCATTCTCCTGCCTCAGCCTCCTGAGTAGCTGGGACTACAGGTGCCTGCCACCACGCCCAGCTAATTTTTTGTATTTTTAGTAGAGACGGGGTTTCACCATGTTAACCAGGATGGTCTCGATCTCCTGACCTTGTGATCCGCCCGCCTCAGCCTCCCAAAGTGCTGGGATTACAGGCGTGAGCCACTGCGCCCGGCACAATTGTTTTTCTATTACTGTTCAGTTTAAACAAATGAATATATATTTTATAGTGATGCTGTTTTTATATATAAATTTACTATTTGAATATTTTATACATATTTATATATGTATTTCATACATATTATTTATATATGCATATGTATATATAAAAATAGGTGTATACGCATATTCATATATACATATTTATATATATTTTTATATGTATAAAAACACTATTGTTTACTCACACCATTTATTAATCTTTGCATTTAATACTATAGTCCTGTCAATATTACTGGAGGCAGTTTTCAAATACACCTAAGAGATTGTTTATTAAAGGTTGTTTATACAGTGTTATTTCATAAATATTGTTACATCTTGTTAATTGAGCTTTATAGGTATCATTTTTAATTGTTGCAGATTTTTTTTTCAGTTGACCCAAAGTTTTTGTATTGGGGAAGATTAGAAACATAGGTCTAATCTAGTCCATTGAATTCATTGCATTGTTATGTATGTGGGAAAAACTATAATACCCCTGAGGTAATATTGGAGTCAATTTGTTGTATCCCTCCTAAACCTACACTTTATATGCCTTTCCGTGATAGCATAGGAATTGTTTTCCCATTGGCTCATTGGTGTTCATTTAATACTATGTTATTTTTACACAGAGAAGTTTTTTATGAAGTCATACCAATCTTTCCCTTTATAGTTGCTACTTTTGCTATCATAAAAAGGACCTTTCCTATCCAAGATTATATTATCCCATTGTATTTTTTCTTTTATGGTTTCTTTTTTAACTCTAAAATCCAAAATTCATCTGGCGTTTATTCTGCCGTAGCTTGTGGGTGAGACTTTAAATTACTGTTAAAATATTTGATGATGCTGTTAACTGAATCAGCATTGATCCAAGGTATATGCATAGTTTTATAATTTTTTTTTAGTACATGAGCTTTAATACCTTTTGAAAACTTACTTACACTTATAAAACTATTAATTTGCCATAAAATTGTCCCGGTTGACAGTTGGAAATATTAAACATAAAGGTATCTTTTTCTCCCTAGGGTATAGAACTTGACCAGTTAGACTTACGAAGAGATATTGCCTACAACTTGTCTCTCATCTATCAGAGCAGTGGGAATACCGGAATGGCTCAAACGCTTTTGTATACCTATTGTTCTATATAAAGCACCGCAACTGAGAACAGAGCAATGGCAGCTGCTGTGTGAGGACCAGTGTCTTCTGTCTCAGGGCTTATTATTTGTAACTCCAAAATAGAAATGACAATTTCAGAATTACCTAACAAACAGTGTATTTATTTTTAATATGTGATAATGATCTTGTGGTATATATGCAAAATTATTCCTACAAAAATTTGTATATTGGTCTGTCATTTTCCTTTCACATTCTATAGTGAATTGTTCCCAATGTTGAAATGGACGTGTAAGCCTTTGAGCTAGCTTGGAGTCGAATACACTATTTTTCACTCACACCATTTATTCATCTTTGTATTTAATACTATAGCTCTGTCAATATCACATGAGGCAGTTTTTCAAATACGTATAAACAGAGGTTGCTTATTATTAAAGGAAAGACAAAGTGGGACTCTTTATGATGTCATGACCATGATAACTAAGCACCTAAGAAAATTATTTAAAATAGTTATGTGGTAGGCAGAAAGACAAATAATTTAGTTTTTTACTTTTCACCAGCATGTATCTTAGCTACCTAAACTGAAACATGGGAGGCTGGGCTTAATTCAAAATATATTGCTCCAAGGCAAATAAAAAAATGCTTTATCTATATTTGTGGCTTTCTGATGAAAAAATAGAGAAGAGCTTGTTCAATAACAGGACATGGTTTCCATTTCAAGATCACAAGTAATATAAGACTGGGCAAGTAGTACGTATGGAATAAAGGACATACTGCTGATTGATAAAGTAAAAAACTTTTTTTTTGTTTGTTTACTCATCTCCACTATTTATTATATGTTCTTGAATTTAAGTTAACAGTACTTTTTAGATGATATACTGTTAGCTTAATAACAACTTTTTAGGGAAAAATAAATGCTGTAATTAATGTGCACATGGGTTAGTAACACCCAGCCCAATTGTGGGAGGGAAACAAGTAGAGGCTTAGGATCAAAGAAATAAAATTGGGACTTATTAGAAATTCTTACCACTGTTTCTACTGTACACAAAACTTTCTAGTTGAGCAGAATTTGTATGCAATAAGTAAATATATTGTATACTCCATGTGTATAATTTAAATGCATTTTATTTTTATAATTGAGGTTAACTGTTTCACATGCTTAATTTTTACTTTATGCCATTTATAGGTAATGGTAGAGGTAACTGAGATACAGTAATAAGTTAGACTTGTGTGTTGGAATTCTGTGGAACTGAGCATTCTGTGCTCCGAGTTTCTCTCTTAAATTAGCTCACTGGACTGTGGCTCCAGTGTCTACTAAATAGCCGTGGAGGAAATAAGTCTCCCTAAGGGAAAAAAAAACCAGCTGATATTGTATAGTTTTGTTTAGCTTTTAAAATCATAGCTTCCATTTGCTGAGTTTTTACTCTGCTACTGTATGCTAAGTATGGTGCTAAACACTTTGGATATGTTATCTCTGATTCTCTCAGGGAACTGCAAGGTAGTTATTATTGATATTGTCATCACCACTTTGTATCTAGAGATTAAATAGCATGTTCAAGATCACTAGTAAGCTGCTCCTTGCTCAGAGATTTTCCTTCAGAAGAACACAGTTGCTGTAGTTCAGAGTAACAACAAACATTAAGCATAAGGTTTGTTTTTTTTTTTTCTTTTGAGACGGAGTCTCACTCTGTCTCCAGGCTGGAGTCCAGTGGCATGATCTCTGCTCACTGCTACCTCCACCTCCCAGGTTCAAGCGATTCTCCTGCCTCAGCCTCCCGAGTAGCTGGGACTACAGGTGCCTGCCACCACCTCCAGCTAATTTTTGTATTTTTAGTAGAGACAGGGTTTCACCATGTTGGCCAAGATGGTCTCGATCTCTTGACCTCGTAATTCGCCCGCCTCGGCCTCCCAAAGTGCTGGGATTACAGGTGTGAGCCACTGCACCCAGCCAAGCATAAGTTTATTTTAGAAAGAAAAAAGACATTGGCAGTGTTTCTGTCTTCCAGGCCTTCAGCCCATCAAAGCCCCTGTATAAAAACATCTTTTGGGGTCTCTTTTTAAAAGCTCCTATTCTCTTACCTCCCATCCTCACCTTAGCAGTGGGGTCCTGGTACCTGTTTTATGCACTGAGACTCTGCTGCTCCTGCATGATCACAGTTGATCGAGGAGGGAGTCTGCTCCTGAACCAACCTGGGCCAATCAGGAGTTTCCTCCCGCCTTCCCTGGGAATTTCAGACTTGAAATAGTTCATGTAGGGCCAGAACTTCAGAACAATGAGGCCAACTAGCAGTTAACCCGTTCTGTTGAAAAAAAAAAAAAAAGTGAGGTGTCTGCATTAAGAGAAGTAAAGATGAGCGAAGGAGAGTTCTCTCTGAAGTCCCAGAGATTTCCAGTTTTCAGTTCTATCCTCAGGCCAGCTGCCTTCTTACCCTTGGATTCGTTCTAGGAGATAGCCTTGATTCTGTTATAGTTTCCACTTTAATATTTACACCAGCTTGGGTTTTTCTGTTAAATGCACATACAAAAAATTTTGACCTGATCGACCACCATTCCATCTTTCTTTTAATTTAGCATTACTGCTTTCTAGCCATTTTCATAGGAAGAAAGTATAAAGCAAACAGAAATGAATATAAAAATTTGTTGCTGAATTACAAGTAGTGTCACGAAGTCTAATCCACAATAAACAGGCTTTTCAAAATCATTCAGAGCAAGAACAGGAGGAATGTTCCTGCTGTGGTGTTGTAAAGCTAATAGTATTATAATACTATAGTTCATATTGAAAGAATATATACTCCAACATAATACTGAACAGGGTAGGAAAGGAGTTAATGGCCAAGATATTGGGTGAGGATATGAGTAAGGGGGGACTAGAAATGAACTGCATCTCCAGGCCCATAGTCCCTATACTAATGGCTATGCTATGAAACTGCAAATTAGAATTTTGAGGCATTCTCAGAAGAAAATGACCAAATGAACTGAATTTTTTAAGTGGGCAAAAGGTGGATTCTGGAAACCACTTGGGCATGTTAGTGCTGGCATGATTCCAGCCATCTGTGTGTTCTTTGAAGTGATGTTCCTTAGGATACTTACTCTTTTTTTCCAAGCAAAAAGGCCAGCTGCCTTCTCACCCTTGGATTCATTCTAGAATCCAGATAGATTCTTTGATTCTTTGATCAGGATATCCTTGATTCTATAATAACTTCCACTTCAATCTTTTAGGAGATACACTCTTTTTGCTTGGTACTAGACTGGTGGTTCTGAGGACTATCTTACATTTTATGTATCTGGGTTTTAGCAGAGTCTGTGAGGAAGACTGCTGTGATATGCTTATGGATTGAATGGGAAAGTGTGGCTGGTTCTTCAGCCGGTAGAATGACCGAACTCAAAGAATGCATGTTGACAGACTGATGTAGACTGGAGAGAAACTGCAAATGACATGCCACCATGTTCATTAACGACTTAGGTGACAATATAAGGCATGGTCAAATTTGCATGGAGGGAAACTAGAAGTTATAATAAATACCAATACTAATGAATTAATGAAAAATCTCAACAATGTTATTAAACTGAACTGGGGTCTGCTTGCCCAGCATGGTAAGGCCAAACATCCATACCAAGGTTTTCAGCAGGAGAAAGGGGGGCATTTATTTGTAGGCACCTTGAAGCAAGGAGAATTGGGCAGTTTATGCTTAGGACCTGACCTCTTCAATGGCTCATAAGGAAGGGTTTTTAAATGCAGGGGTACATTTTAAGCAAGAGTTATAGGCAAAATTGTAAATTAATACATGGAGGTTCTATAATACATTGGTTTGGCCTAAAAGGGTGGGATATCTTGAAGTGGGGGCTTATAGGTAACAGATTTAAAGATTTTTTTGATTTGTAATTGGTTAAGGAAGAGAAGCTTTATTTAAAATTTTGGGGTCATCAGAAAAGAATGTTGGCCCTGGCTCTTGGGTATGACTTCTTTTAGACCCTTCAGGAAGAAATTCAGAGCAAGGAGTGGCAGCATTTAATCTTCATTTCCCCCTTACTAGAGGTTTATGTGTCAGTGGATCCACTTGGTGGCGGGTCTGGTTTTTTGAAAAACAACTTAGGGACGTATGTTATAAGATGCTCTTTTTAGTTTTTATAGAGACCCAAACCATCCAGTGACTAATTTTTTTGGCTATTGTTTTAAGTTATTATCTTTTTGTTCATTATGTTATTTTTTAGGGCTAGCTAGGTATCTGGAATTTTTTTTTAAGGAATTCAAGATTTTAAAAAAATTTTGTTTGGTGCGGGGACAGGCTGCAGGCCCCTAAGAGGGGTCCCTGTTCCATCTCAAAAGTAACACAGTTACTTTTACCTCCAAAATCCAAAAACCAACAAAACACAGCAAACAAAAAAGACAATATAAACTCCAGGCCAAAAAGAATAAGAGATAACAGAGAGACGACAAAATAATTTTTAGAAACTAGGAAGCAAATGGGCAATTGGTAACTAAATAAACTACAGAAAAATGAAAGCTGAGTGCCCACAGGAGGTGGTGGGGAGAGGGGCAGAAGCAAGCTGATTCAAGACCTTAAAGCTTGTCCACTAGGTTCCTCCAAAGACAGGTGAAGTGTGGTCAAAAATGGGAGCAGTGGAAAGTCTGTTAAGCCACAGTGAGACCCTCCTAGTTAACCCTTTTCACCTATGGAAACTGTCCCACTCCCGCATGGAACACTGGTGGTCTTATTTTCTGGAGTTGTGGAATCAGGACCTCTGGATTCGGGAATACCAGGCAGAGATGAAGGCCAGAGTGTTATACTGAAAGCAGAGGATTAAGTGGACGTCTACACACTGAGCAGCGAGATGCCCAGCTGCCTTCTCCTCCTAAGCTCCTAGAAAACTGGCATCTATTTAACATCCTTTAAGCAGGAAGTTAAAGGGTTCCTTTCTGAGAAATCCTGTCCAAGAAAAAAATGCTCATATATATACTGGCAGTTTGAGGGTTCTCAATGAAACAGCCCATCCTGGCCAGAGAAGCCTGCCTGTGAACAAATCCCTCGCACTGCTGTCAGCTTGCTGGCACCTTGCTAGCAGCATTAGTGGACAGCTCACGATCATCAGACTACTGAGGAACGCTTCAGGACTGGGAGAGATCCATATAAGCAATGGGAGGGGAGGAAGGAACGCAAAGGGAACAGAATTGGTGCAGGAAGTAGAAAAACAAAACGCAGTTCATATCCCCAGATAAGACAATACCATACACATGAAATAAGAGGATGCTATTAAAAGGAAGGAATTCAAAGAATGAGAACATTATAAGATTTAAAATGTAATTGCAAGAATTAATTCAATGAAAATATGAAAATAGAATTTAAAGAGACAAAATGGAAAACTGAGAACATTTCAGATAAGAAAATTAAAGGTTATAAAAGTCTAAATGAGTTCTTTGTGGCAGTTGCCACATCTTATAAATTCATGTACATTTCAGTGTGTGTGACTGCTTGATTATAAATAATTCCAGTGGGAGGAACATACCCTGCAATGATTTTTTATATGCAGTAGATGGCAGTGCATTTCTATAAATTTAGGACTGTATTTCATAAAATTTAATTGTCTTAATATGTTTTGTCTAACTTTCAACATTTCAATAGAAAAAAATCTCAGTCTCGCCCTCCACATTTGAGCAATCAGATCCATAAGCTCTGTTTGTGCGGCTCCCATCAGCATTGAAAGAAGGGCAGCTGGACCCTAGTATGTGTTTCTTGCTGCCCGTTTTTCAGCCTTAACCTAAACAAGTCTAGCAGGTATCAGGGCAACCAGATGAAGCATGAAAAGTCTAATCATAACCCTGAAGATCATACCCCAAATTTATCCTGTTTGCAGTTCAGGGTAAGTATGCTAATGTGAAGAGTGAGAGTTAGCAGGACCACTTGGCATTTTAGTAGACAGTCAGGTGTTTCTATTCAGGGAGTTCAGACAAGTGTAGAGGAGAAAGAGAAAGCCAATAAACAGAAACCTCTGGCCCAGTGACCTGCAACTGCATAAAAGAGGACAAGCAGTATTCAATTCTGTTATAACTAGTTCCAAGGATGCCAAGCCTCTTTTTTTTTTTTTTTTTTTTTTTTTTTTTTTAAGAGATGGGGTTTTGCTTTGTTGCCCAGGCTGGAATGCAGTGGTGCAATCACAGCTCAATGCAACCTAGTCCTCCCTAGCTCAGGTCATCCTCCCACCTCAGCCTCCTAAGTAGCTAGTATTACAGGCATGCACCACCATGCCAAAAAACCAAGCACAAGATTCCTCCTCTCTGGGCAGGGCATCTCTGGAAAAAAAAAAAAAAAAAGCAGCCCCAGTCAAGGACTTATAGATACAAACCACCATCTCCCTGGGACAGAACACCTGGGGGAAGGGGTGGCTGTGGGCACAGCTTCAGCAAACTTAAATGTCCCTGCCTGACAGCTCTGAAGAGAGCCAGCAGATCTCCCAGCACAGCGTTCAAGCTCTGATAAGGGACAGACTGCCCCCTCAAGTGGGTTTCTGACTCCACTGTATCCTGACTGGGAGACACCGCCCAGTAGGGACTGACAGACACCTCATACAGGAGAGCTCTGGCTGGCATCTGGTGTGTACCCCTCTGGGACTAAGCATCCAGAGGAAGGAACAGGCAGCAATGTTTGCTGTTCTGCAGCCCCTGCTGGTGATACCCAGGCAAACAGGGTCTAGAGTGGACCTCTAGCAAACTCCAGCAGACCTGCAGCAGAGGGGACTATTAGTAGGAAAACTAACAGAAAGGAATAGCATTAACATTAACAAAAAGGACGTCCCCTCAGAGACCCCATCCGAAGGTCACCAACGTCAAAGACCAAAGGTACATAAATCCATGAAGATGAGGAGAAACCATCACAAAAAGGCTGAAAATTCCAAAAACCAGAATGCCTCCTCTCCTCCAAGGATCACAACTCCTCGCCAGCAAGGGAACAAAACTGGATGGAGAATGAGTTTGACGAATTGACAGAAGTAGGCTTCAGAAGGTGGGTAATAACAAACTCCTCCGAGCTAAAGGAGCATGTTCTAACCCAATGCAAGGAAGCTAAGAACCTTGATAAAAGGTTAGACAAATTGCTACCTAGAATAACCAGTGTAGAGAAGAACATAAATGACCTGATGGAGCTGAAAAACACAGCACAAGAACTTCATGAAGCATACACAAGTATCAATACCCAAATCGATCAAGCAGAAGAAAAGATATCAGAGATTGAAGATCAACTCAATGAAATAAAGTGAGAAGACAAGATTAGAGAAAAAAGAGTGAAAAGAAACGAACAAAGCCTCCAAGAAATATGGGACTATGTGAAAAGACCAAATCTACGTCTGATTGGTGTACCTGAAAGTGATGGGGAGAATGGAACCAAGTTGGAAAACACTCTGCAGGATATTATCCAGGAGAACTTCTCCAACCTAGCAAAGCAGGCCAACATTCAAATTCAGGAAATACAGAGAACACCACAAAGATACTCCTCGAGAAGAACAACCCCAAGACACATAATTATCAGATTCACCAAGGTTGGAATGAAGGAAAAAATGTTAAGGGCAGCCAGAGAGAAAAGTCGGGTTACCCACAAAGGAAAGCCCATCAGACTAACAGTGGATCTCTCGGCAGAAACCAGAAAAGAGTGGGGGCCAATATTCAGCATTTGTAAAGAAAAGAATTTTCAACCCAGAATTTCATATCCAGCCAAACTAAGCTTCATAAGCGAAGGAGAAATAAAATCCTTTACAAACAAGCAAATGCTGAGAGATTTTGTCACCACCAGGCCTGCCCTACAAGAGCTCCTGAAGGAAGCACTAAATATGGAAAAGAACAACCGGTACCAGCCACTGCAAAAACATACCAAATTGTAAAGACCATCGACACTATGAAGAAACTGCATAAACTAACAGGCAAAATAACCAGCTAGCATCATAATGACAGGATCAAATTCACACATAACAATATTAACCTTAAATGTAAACAGGCCAAATGCTCCAATTAAAAAACACAGACTGGCAAATTGGATAAAGAGTCAAGACCCATCAGTGTGTTGTATTCAGGAGACCCATCTCATGTGCAAAGACACAAATAGGCTCAAAATAAAGGGATGGAGGAATATTTACCAAGCAAATGGAAAGCAAAAAAAGCAGAGGTTGCAGTCCCAGTCTCTGAAAAAATAGACCTTAAATCAACAAAGATCAAAAGAGACAAAGAAGGTCATTACATAATGGTAAAGGAATCAATGTAACAAGAAGAGCTAACTATCCTAAATATATACGTACCCAATACAGGAGCACCCAGATTCATAAAGCAAGTTCTTAGAGACCTATAAAGAGACTTAGACTCCCACATAATAATAGTGGGAGACTTTAACACCTCCCTGTGAATATTAGACAGACTGACGAGACAGAAAATTAACAAGGATATCCAGGACTTGAACTCAGCTCTGGACCAAGCAGACCTAAATAGACATCTACAGTACTCTCCGCTCCAAATCAACAGAATATACATTCTTCTCAGCACCACATCACACTTATTCTAAAATTGACTACATAATTGGAAGACACTCCTCAGCAAATGCAAAAGAATGGAAATCGTAACAGTCTCTCAGACCACAGCGCAATCAAATTAGAACTCAGGATTAAGAAACTCACTCAAAACTGCACAACTACATGGAAACTGAACAACCTGCTGCTCCTGAATGACTACTGGGTAAATTAAACAAAATTAAGGCAGAAATAAAGATGTTCTTTGAAACCAACAAGAACAAAGACACAACATAGCAGAATCTCTGGGACACATTTAAAGCAGTCTGTAGAGGGAAATTTATAGCACAAAATGTCCACAAGAGAAAGTAGGAAAGATCTAGATCAACACCCTAACATCACAATTAAAAGAACTAGAGAAGCGAGAGCAAACAAATTCAAAAGCTAGCAGAAGACAAGAAATAACTAAGATCAGAGCAGAACTGAAGGAGATAGGCATAAAAAACCCTTCAAAAAAATCAATGAATCCAGGAGCTGTTTTTTTGAAAAGATTAACAAAATAGACCACTAGCCAGACTAATAAAGAAGAAAAGAGAGAAGAATCAAATAGACACAATAAAAAATGGTAAAGGGGATATCACCACTGATCCCACAGAAATACAAACTACCATCAGAGAATACTATAAACATCCCTATGCAAATAAACTAGAAAATCTAGAAGAAATGGATAAATTCCTGGACGCACACACCCTCCCAAGACTAAACCAGGAAGATGTCGAATCCCTGAATAGACCAATAACAAGTTCTGAAATTGAGGCAGTAATTAAGAGCCTACCAATAAAAAGAAGTCCAGGACCAGACAGATTCACAGCTGAATTCTACCAGAGGTACAAAGAAGAGCTGGTACCATTCCTTCTGAAACTGTCCCAATCAATAGAAAAAGAGGGAATCTTCCCTAACTCATTTTATGAGGCCAGCATCATCCTGATACCAAAACCTGGCAGAGACACAACAAAAAAAGAAAATTTTAGGCCAATATCCCTGATGAACATCGATGTGAAAATCCTCAATAAAATACTGGCAAACCGAATCCAGCAGCACATCAAAAAGCTTATCCACCATGATCAAGTGGGCTTCATCCCTGGGATGCAAGGCTGGATCAACATATGCAATTCAATAAACGTAATCCATCACATAAACAGAACCAATGACAAAAACCACAACATGATTATCTCAATAGATGCAGAAAAGGCCTTTGACAAAATTCAACAACACTTCATGCTAAAAACTCTAAATAAACTAGGTATTGATGGAACATATCTCAAAATAATAAGAGCTATTTATGAAAAACCCACAGCCAATATCATGCTGAATTGGCAAAAACTGGAAGCATTCCATTTGAAAACCAGCAAAAAACAAAGATGCCCTCTCTCACCACTCCTATTCAACATAGTATTGGAAGTTCTGGCCAGGGCAATCAGGCAAGAGAAAGAAATAAAGGATATTCAATTAGGAAAAGAGGAAGTCAAATTGTCTCTGTTTGCAGATGACAAGATTGTATATTTAGAAAACCCTATCATCTCAGCCCAAAATCTCCTTAAGCTGATAAGCAACTTCAGCAAAGTCTTAGGATTCAAAATCAATGTGTAAAAATCACAAGCATTCCTATACACAATAACAGACAAACAGAGAGCCAAATCATGAGTGAACTCCCATTCACAAGTGCTACAAAGAGAATAGAATACCTAGGAATACAACTTATAAGGGATATGAAGGACCTCTTCAAGGAGAACTACCAGCCACTGCTCAAGGAAATAAGAGAGAACACAAACAAATAGAAAAACATTCCATGCTCATGGACAGGAAGAGTCAATATCATGAAAATGGTCATACTTCCCAAAGTAATTTACAGATTCAATGCTATCCCCATCAAGCTACCATTGACTTTTCACAGAATTGGAAACAACTACTTTAAATTTCATATGGAACCAAAAAAGAGCCCACATTGCCAAGATAATCCTAAGCAAAATGAACAAAGCTGAAGGCATCATGCTACCTGACTTCAAACTATACTACAAGGCTACAGTAACCAAAACAGCATGGTACTGGTACCAAAACAAATATATAGACCAATGGAACAGAACAGAGACCTCAGAAATAACATCACACATCTACAACCATATGATCTTTGACAAACATGACAAAAACAAGCAATGGGGAGAGGATTCCCTATTTAATATAATGGTTTCGGGAAAACTGGCCAGCCATATGCAGAAAGCTGAAACTGGATCCCTTCCTTACATCCTTACATCTTATACAAAAATTAACTGAAGATGGATTAAAGACTTAAACATAAGACATACAACCATAAAAACCCTAGAAGAAAACCTAGGCAATACCATTCAGGACACAGGCATGGGCAAACACTTCATGCTAAAACACCAAAAGCAATGGCAACAAAAGCCAAAATAGACAAATGGGATCTAATTAAACTAAAGAGCTTCTGCACAGCAAGAGAAACTATCATCAGAGTGAACAGGCAACCTACAGAATGGAGAAAATTTTTGCAATCTACCCATCTGACAAAGCACTAATATCTACAAAGAACTTAAACAAATTTACAAGAAAAAAAGAGCCCTATCAAAACCTGGGTGAAGGATATGAGCAGACACTTCTCAAAAGAAGGCATTTATGCAGCCAACAAACATATGAAAAAATGCTCATCATCACCATTATTAGAGAAATGCAAATCAAAACCACAATGAGATACCATCTCATGCCAGTTAGAATAGCGATCAATAAAAAGTCAGGAAAGAACAGATGCTGGAGAGGATGTGGAGAAATAGTAACACTTTTACGCTGTTGGTAGGAGTGTAAATTAGTTCAACCATTGTGGAAGACAGTGTGGTGATTCCTTCAAGGATCTAGAACCAGAAATACCATTTGACCCAGCAATCCCATTACTGGGTAGATACCCAAAGGATTATAAATCATTCTACTATAAAGACATATGCACACGTATGTTTACTGTGGCACTGTTCGCAATAGCAAAGACTTGGAACCAACCCAAATGCCCATCAATGATAGACTGGATAAAGAAAATGTGGCACATATACACCATGGAATACTATGCAGCCGTAAAAAAATGAGTTCATGTCCTTTGCAGGGACATGGATGAAGCTGGAAACCTTCATTCTCAGCAAACTATCACAGGGACAGAAAACCAAACACTGCATGTTCTCACTCATAGGTGGGAGTTGAACAATGATAACATATGGACACATGGAGGGAAACATCACACACCTGGGCCTGTTGTGGAGTAGGGGGCTAGGGGAGGGATAGTATTAGGAGAAATACATAATGTAGATGATGGGTTGCTGGGTGCAGCAAACCACCATGGCACATGTATACCTATGTAACAAACCTGCATGTTCTGCACATGTACCCCAGAACTTAAAGTATTTTAAAAAAAAAGACAGTGCTCCAACTTTGTGCTGGGAGCAAGTGTGATCACCTGTCAGGCCTTGGGGAAGCCAGCAAATCCCAGAGCAGCCTTTACCATTCATCTCAGCATACCTTACATATAGTGCTGTGTATTCTGTGTGCCACGAAACGAAAAAGTTTACCTTCGAGTTGCAGACTAAAGCCAGCTTTGGAATGAGTGAAAAACAATTCACATTAACTCTAGGAAATTTTTAAAGGCCAAAAATATCTTGATAATTTCAGCTGCTAAGTAACAGGATAGGTTTTTTCCCCCTCTCCTCAATATCTTTTCTCTTCCTATTCCCATTGTTTTCCTAGAGGGTCTCTCTGGTAAGCCCGAGAGAAAAGAGATGGTAAGGCGCTAACACACTGAAGTTCTGCTGCAAGTGTCAATGTTAACAATATAAAGGTCTGTTTGTCTTGCAGATAATTTACATGGAAAGGCCTAAAGTTTTCCTCCTAGGATGCACAGGACCTGTAGGAACCAAGTTAGCCTCTCCAGGGGAGAAAGAAAAAAACTGCGTGCCTCCTTGTGTACATAGCCATAATTCCTGGATTGTAGGGTACATGCATTTGAACACAGTACATGCTGCCACGATGCCCTCCCAAATGGCTGTATCAGTTGTGTGAGGATACCTGTTTCCCCACGCTTGCTTCAAACTTCATATTTTTGTCCCAACAGATATGTGAAAAATAATTGTTTCATTTGCATACTGGTTAAGTTGAAATCTATCTTTTCATATATTTATAAACCTTTTGGATTTTTCTTTCTTCTCTGGATCGCTTTTGAGATTCTCTGCCAATTTTTAAAAAATTGGATCATATTTCTTATTGAATCATAGGCATTCTTATTCTAGTATTAAGCCTTTGTCACTTTTCACTTTATTTGTGGTGTCTTTAAGACTCAAGTTTTAGATTTTAGTATCATCAAGTTTATCAATTTTTTTCCCCTTTTATGGCCAACATGAAACTTCAAAATAAAGTTGGATTGTGTTTAGAAAAATAAGGAAGATCTAGGGAAGTCGAGTGGAGTTCTTAGGAGGATCCCAGAAGAAAGCAGACCAGCCCCATCTACATCTGACCAACAAAATAGAGAACAAACAGGACCACTGAAATAGCGGATGTGGAAAGCTAACAGGGAAAGTGGGAGCTGGGGGCGCCTCAGAGGCTAAGAGACAGAGGTGGATTGTGAAGGATTTACAAAGCTCTCTGAGATTACTTCAGGATTAGAAGTACAAAAAGAGTACATGGCCTGTGGGCTTGGCTAAGCTTTATAGCAAGCTTTCGGCTTTCCCTTAAACAAAAATGAACCTAGTCTCCTCAGGAAGCCAGAAGTCTTCTCACTTGGTGTCTGTCCGCTAGGGCTTGTCAAGAACTTACTTCTGTTTACAAAAGCCCTGAAGGCGGAGAAGAGTCAAGAGTGCTGCCATCTGCAGGCCATTTCAGGCAGCTCAAGAGGCAAAAGAAACGATGATTCTTGATTCTGATGGAAGGAGGCAAAGCTGAGACTTTAGAGAATCAGAGGAAACAACATAGGATAGCTCTGTTCAGCTACTCCAATGCCTCGGAGCAGTAGAGGCAGCAGTGATTTTAAAGGTGTGGGAAGAGGTGCTGGCACCTACATTAAAGGCAGTAGAAATCAGAAACTTACAAGCCTCACCTAGGCTGGGAGAGAAATCCTATTTGGGTTTCCTTTGACAGGAATCATTATTATTGGTGGTAGATTCTACCTGCCCCAAGGCACCCTTTTTGGGTGCTGGAAAAGGTACAGAAGTGCTGAGGGGCTGTCAGGAAATGGACTGGTGGCCCAGACTGAGCCAGGTCAACTCTACTCAACATTCAGCTCCATCTCCACTTGGCTCCAAGCCCTAAAGCAACTTCAGGGAAGGAATGTGCTGCCAAGCTCCTTCAGGTGGGTGCAGTTTTGGGACTGAGGTCTCTGCTTTCTTGCTGACTTTCAGTCAGGGGCCACTCTCAGCTGCTAGAGGCCACCTGCATACGTGGCTTCTTCCTCTTCAAGCCAGCAAGGGCACATGAAACCCTTCTTGTGCTTTAAATCTCTTTCTCTTCTTCAAGCATCTGGAGAAAATTGCTGTTAAAGGGATTATGTGATTAGGTCAGGCCCGCCAGGATAATCTCCCTTTCTTAAAATTAACTGTGACATACGATCTAATTACGGGAGTAAAATCCATCACTTTCACAGTCTAGGGATGATGCAGGCATGTTCACCAGTGGGCACAGAATCCTGGGGCCTCTCTTAGAATCCTGCCAACCACACCACTTCCTTGTCACCTTGCTAACTGTATTGGTTTCTCAATGTCTGACAGTCTTTTGCCTTTGTAAATTCTTTTGATCTTTTGGTCTTCTGACCTTGAGGATATTTTGTCTTTGAAATTTAATACTTTTGGCCGGGCGCGGTGGCTCACGCCTGTAATCCCAGCACTTTGGGAGGCCGAGGCGGGTGGATCATGAGGTCAGGAGATCGAGACCATCCTGGCTAACAAGGTGAAACCCCGTCTCTACTAAAAATACAAAAAATTAGCCGGGCGCGGTGGCGGGCGCCTGTAGTCCCAGCTACTCGGGAGGCTGAGGCAGGAGAATGGCGTGAACCCGGGAAGCGGAGCTTGCAGTGAGCCGAGATTGCGCCACTGCAGTCCGCAGTCCGACCTGGGCGACAGAGCGAGACTCCGTCTCAAAAAAAAAAAAAAAAAAAAAAAAAAAAGAAATTTAATACTTTTATTAGAATGTGTCTCAAAGTTGATCATTCAATTTTTCCCAAGTATTAGGTTGGTGCAAAAGTAATTGCAGTTTTTGCCATTATTTTTCTTTTTTTTTTTTTTGAGACGGAGTCCCTCTTTGTCACCCAGGCTGGAGTGCAGTGGCATGATCTCGGCTCACTGCAACCTCCGCCTCCCAGGTTCAAGCAGTTCTCCTGTCTCAGCCTCCTGAGTAGCTGGGACTACAGGTGCCTGCCACCACGCCCGGCTACTTTTTTGTATTTTTAGTAGAGACAGGGTTTCACCATATTGGTTAGGCTGGTCTCAAACTCCCGACCTCAGATGATCCACCCGCCTCGGCCTCCCAAAATGCTGGGATTACAGGCGTGAGCCACCGTGCCAGCCTGCCATTACTTTTAATTGCAAAACTGCAACTACTTTTGCACCCCAACCTAATACTTGTTAAACACTTTAAGTTTATAGATTGATTTTTTTCTTGTATTTTTGAAAGTGCTCTTGGATTATAGTTTTAAAAATAACCTCTGTTAACTTAATTTTCTTCCTCAATAACATAAATATTACAGTTTTCCATTCCATTACTTTTTCTCTAATCTTTTTTATTTCTTCTTTTGTCATTTTCATTTTCTTGGTTGTTTTCCTGGCTTTTTCAATGACTCTTGCTTTTATCTCTGATTTCTGTCCACTTCTGTCCACATCCTGTTTTTGAATTTGTTTCACAATGTTTTTTCATATCCTCAAAGTTTGTCTGAATATATTTGTTTGAAGTGTTCACTTTCAGTTTCTTCTCCTTTGTAATTGTTTATTGGGGAATTTTTTCCTAATTTGATATAAGGGAATTTCATTTCTTGATTTCTGGCAGTAGCTCTGTATGAACTTTCCTCTTGCTCCTGTTTGTGGTATTGGGCTGTTTATCAATATTTCTAGTTTGTCATGTCCTCTTCTGTGAATGTAGCAAAGTCCAGGTGTGTGCAAAGTCCAGGTGTTTTTCCAGGTGAGAGAGAGAGAGAGAGAGAGTGTGTGTGTGTGTGTGTGTGTGTGTGTGTGTGTGTGTGTGTGTGTTGATGATTGTGGGAAGGGTTCTGAGTCCTTTGATTTTATGCTTCTCTTTTTTCTTGCTAAGCCCTCTTTTCCTTTCCTTTTTTTCCTTTCTTTTTAACAATCCAATTGCCAAAAGGGGCTTTCTCCCTTTCTTTTTGCCTTTTCAGAAGCTATGCCCTTTGCCTTTAAACATGCCTGCATCTTTAAATCCTATGTATCCTAAAGTTCCTTCCCTGTAGTTCATGCTGTCATCTGCCTGGACACTTTTTTTTTTTTTTTGAGTATTTCCAGACTTAGGGTCCATTTAGTCTTTGTGGTGGTAGTTTCAGATCAACCTTGGACCCCCGCACTAGCTTCCTTTTTCTGTAGTCCCTACAGTTTTTCTTGCTCTGCCTTTGTTTGCTACTTTGTGGTGAGGTGAGGGTTGCGCAGAAATACTCATATGACAGAGTGTGGAGAGGGGTTTGGTGATTTTTCTCTTTTTACTTGGATATTTTGAAGATTTGGCATTGTCCATCTTCAAATTATGCTGAGGGTGTGTTTTTTATGTAGAACTGACTTTTCCTGTCTTGTTGCATATTGCTGGTGGAGGAAATACTGAGAGGTAGGTAGCTATGCAGCTGCCATTGTCTAGCTACCTGGAGGTTCCTATATTTAGGTTATTAAAGAATCAGTTTTTAAAAACTTCAGGAAGAACTTGACAGCTTGTGGGTATCTTATATAAATGCTCTAAAGAAAAAGGGGTGTCAGTATAAAAGAATAACCCAGCACAAGCTCAGAGCTCTCTGGCTGCAGCATTAATAAAATTCAATAGTGACCACCTTGGTGTATTTTCTCTACTTACAATCTTTTGACTGTTGGACATCTGTGGTTTTGGTCTGACCTAACACCATTTACCCTTTCTTATGAGAACATCACCTTGATTTGCTTTGGGAAACCATCCTCAGTTTCAGAGATGGAACATGGCACCCAGACCCAGCATCAGTGCATAATCCATCTTTCAAGTCACAGTGATTGGTTGACAGTAGGCATATGACCAGTCCAATGAGACTCAATATTATTAGAACTACAAAAAAAAAAAAAAAAAAAAAAAAAGCAAAGCTGTCTTTCTGTTGAGGTTGGTAAACAGAAAATATTCCATAGTCTATTTTAGTCTGCTCTACACTGTACATTGTTTCTGACCATTTATAAAAGGGCTTACAATTAGAAAGTGATTTATAAAGTCTCTATTGTCTAAAGAAGTCCAAGGCAGGGAACACAGGATCACATGGTATAGTGCCAACTTAAGCCCCTTTTGCTCAATGACATGACTGATCACCAGATAAGAGCCAGAATAAATGCTCTTGAGAAGAGCGATGCCAAATGTTAAATAGTTGGCAAATGTCTTAGCAGTTTTGCCCTTCTTTCATATAGTATTCTGGGGTAGAACCAACAGATTAAGTAAAGAAAGCCTTATCCTCTCTTTTTATTAATGGGCCTAAATCTAAATTTCAGAGTGTCATAAGAAAAAAAGTAAATTGAAACATTAAACTATTTTAGAAAACATCTAATATGTGAACAAATGTTTTTGGGTAGCCTTAAAAAGTATACAATCTAGAAATCAATAGGACTTATGGTTCTTTATATAAAACTGATCTCTGACATAAAACTAGACCAGAAAGTCTCCTGTTAAGAATGGAAAGACTATTGAAGAAACGAGAAGATAGTGTAAGTAAAAGGATCACTGAAAGAACAATGGTCTAATACTGGGTCAGAAATTGAAGGATACCTATCCAAAACCTGCCTAATGATGCCACTCCAAGGGAGACATTAGTTCACAACAACTCCTTCTCCTTTCTCTACACTCCCAAGTAGAACAATATAGCATTCTTGTTGATCTTAGTGTCCTCTACAATTAATCCCACCACTATGGAACATCGGATCCTTCAGAGAGGAATTTTAAAGTTGTCCAAAATGCAAAAAGGCAAACTGACTTATGAGAGATTTTGTCTTAAACTCAACTGTTTATGACAGATAATAGATAATAGAAAAAGATAAAAGGTGAATTTTAGAATGCATAATGATTATAGAAGCTTGAGGGGAAATGAACTTTATTTGCTTTGGTTTCCTAGAAACAATAAAAAAATGAGAAATTACAATACTAAGTCCCAATCTGTAGCTGATACTTTGGGATCACTGTCAGGACAATACCCTTATATTCTCTGTGACACCTATAGATTTCATAATATATACTCCAGCTCTTACATATGATCAGAGTATAGCTGACATTAGAATATACCACTAATCTCACTAAATACCTCAAGCAACTACCAGAGAAATAGCTATGGTACAAGGGCAAAAGACTCCACAGACAGATTAACTGGAGCAAAGTCAATTACAGTACAGATGGATTCTTCCTAGATTTTCATAAATCTCTTTTTGTACAAACATGAAAATGTTAGGCCATGCTCTAGGGGTGTTAATTGAACACACTTAGAAGAAGCACTGCCTATCCCTTAATTCAGTGGCCATGGCTTAGCCTCCTTTCCTCAGAACAATGAGTTCACTCAAAAAATTAGTCAAAGCATCTACAAATCTTGTATTAGGATCAATATCCTAATTAAGATTTTTAAGAAATCTGTTGTTACCATGTGGTAAATAAATCTGTATTGCTAAAAAAAAAAGCCACTCATCATTTTTCTACTAATTACATAATTATGAATTATTGTCACTACAGACATGTGCTGCATGATGACATTTCATTCAATGACAGACTGCATATATGACTGTGGTCCCATTAGATACAATACTGTATTTCTACTGTACCTTTTACATGTTTAGATACACAAATACCATTGCATAACAACTGCCTACAGTACTCAGTACAGTAACAGCTTTGTAGCCTAAGAGCAATAGAATATGCTATACAGCTAGGTGTGTAGTAGGCTACACCATCTAGTTTGTGTGAGTACATACTGTGGTATGTGCCCAATGACAAAATTACCTAAGGACACATTTCTCAGAACATATCCCTGCCATTAAGCAACATATGACTGTATCTTTCTCATAATACCATCCACTGGCATAATACTTTGAACATACAGAATACAGTTATAATGATAATGTCTGTGTTTACTAATTCTAACATCTGTGTTAGTACTGGGTCAATTTTGATTGATTTCTCTTTATGGGCCATATTTTCCTGCTTCTTCGCATGCCTGATAGTTATGGATTGGATGCCAGACATTGTGATTTTACCTTGACGAATGCCATATATTTTAGTGTTCCTGTAAATATTCTTAAGCCTTGTCCTGGACACAGTTAATTGGAAACAGATCATTTGGGGTTAAGATTCATTAGGTGAGACCACAGTAGTGTACACTGACGGCTAACAGTTCTCTGCCACTGAGATAAGATCCTTTTGTATACTCTACCCAATGAGGTTTCCAATTCTGGCAGGTGGGAACTGGCACTATATTTTTGTACCAGGTTTCATTACCGCTAACCCTTGTGGATAATTCTTTCTCCAGCCTTAGATGGTTTCCTCACATGTGTGTGCTGACAAGAAAGCCTCTGAATACTCTAAGAGAACCTCTGCAGATGTCTGAATATGTCCCCTCTGTCCAGCTCTCCTTTCTGGTCTCTGTCCTGGTACTCTAGCTACTTCTGTCTCTTTGGAATCTCAGCTCTGGCTCTTAACTCAGGGGACCTGCTGGGCTCTACCTTGATTCCTTCTCAATACACTGGGGCAGTTTTAGGGCTCACCTCATTTGCTCCCTTTCTCTCAAGGATCACTGTTTCTTACTGCATGACTTCCAGTGTTCTTAAAAACCAACGTCTCTATATTTGTCTGTTTTTTGGTTGCTTTAGGTGGGAGGATAATCTGGTCCCTGAAACCCTATCGTGGTCAGAAGCAGAAGTCCTGGCTTAATAGCCTTAACACAGCAATTTTATATTTCTTACTCAATGGAAGAGAATTTCATTACAGCGTTTCAGTAATTCAAGTGCGTATTCATGTCCTGAACAGAACATATGCACACTTCAATACCAAATTCTGACTTCTTATTGTTTGTTGATGAATCTTATATTTTTTAAAAAAAGGGACAAATCAGGCTGCTTATATAATGTCAACAAATGTCTATTAAGGAATTTAATTCCTTACCAGGACCCAAATTGTTTCAATGACTAAACTGTGGCCTTCGTAAGGCATGAAAAATTGTGAAAATAAAGAATGAATATATGTTCTAGTATCTACAATACTTTTAGAATAATTCACTCCTTTGAAATGCTAGAGAAACAAAGACATTTAAAAAGGAAAAGAGGAAGTCAAATTGTCCCTGTTTGCAGATGACATGATTGTATATCTAGAAAACCCCACCGTCTCAGCCCAAAATCTCCTTTAGCTGATAAGCAATTTCAGCAAAGTCTCAGGATACAAAATCAATGTGCAAAAATCACAAGCATTCTTATACACCAATAACAGACAGAGAGCCAAATCATAGTGAACTCCCATTCACAATTGCTTCAAAGAGAATAAAATACCTAGGAATCCAACTTACAAGGGATGTGAAGGACCTCTTCAAGGAGAACTACAAACCACTGCTCAACGAAATAAAAGAGGACACAAACAAATGGAAGAACATTCCATGCTCATGGATAGGAAGAATCAATATCGTGAGAATGGCCATACTGCCCAAGGTAACTTATAGATTCAATGCCATCCCCATCAAGCTACCAGTGACTTTCTTCCCAGAAACATACTCAGTTATTAAATGTATTTAACTATCAGTTATTGCTAAGATGGAATTAAAGTCAGTTCTTAATTTTTCAAAAAAAAAAAAAAGAAACAAAGACATTTCTTAGCTTCAACTATCCTTTAAAAATGAACAACAAACATGAATTAGTTGATGCCTTGATAATGCTTTGAACCTACTGCTGTCATAAAAGTAGAAGCCCACAATGGAAGTGAGTATATCATATTATAGACACTATAAACATAACACAGAAACACTTTAAATATATCATAGAAATACATTAGCAAATCAACATACTAAACAGGCTGTCTAACAAAAGTCCTTACATAAAGACACCTTATACAAAAAGAAAAACCCCAAATAACCAATCTATGGAAGAATTCAAGGAATCCCTCTTAAATACACTAAATTTTCCCCACTGCCAAATTCTGTAAAGAAACACTAAGAATGATTGGTTTGTAAGATCCTTGATAAGATCTAGTGAAACTAGAATGGCCACTCCGTAGCACAAGATAAAACTTCAAATGGCAGAGGATGGAGTGGGGGTGGGGGTGGGGGGTGGGAGGGGGTGGGGGTGGGGGCAAGATAGCCAGTTAGAAGCAGCTGCGGTCTGCGGCGCTCATGGAAAGGAATGAAGGCAGTGAGTGAATTCAGCCCCTTCAACTGAAATATCCAGGTTCTTGCACTGGGACTGACTAGGCAACCAGCTCGACCCTTGGAGAATGAAGAAAAGCAGGGTAGGGTGACGGCTCACCCAGGAGCAGCAGGGAGCCAAAGGAAACCCCACCCCCAGCCAAGGGAAGCAGTGAGTGAGTGTGCGATCCCGTCTGGGAAACCATCCATAGATCTCTGCAACCAGCAGATCAGGAGATCCCCTTGTAACCCTAAGCCAACAGGGCCTTGTGACCAATACAGAGCTGTGTGGTGTCCTGGCAGAGCAGTCACTTGGGCACACACAGAGACCCAGGAGTTCTGCATACTCTGGCCCCAGGATCCCGGCAAGGGGGATGATCCGTCAGTACATATCCCTAGGAAGGGGTCTGAATCCAGGGAGCCAAACAGCATTGTTCTGTGGGCCCCACTTCCATGGCACCTCACAAGTGAAGACACACTGGCTTGGAATTCCAGCCAGCCAGCCAGCAGTGAGAGGCTGAAGTTGGTCTGAGAAGGACCGAGTTGCTGGGGGCAGGGACAGCTGCTATCTCTGCAATTCAGTCGACTCAGCAGCTCCAGTCGACTCAGCAGCTCCAGTCTGCTGACTCTGGAGAGTCCAGATGGTCTGAATGAGGAAGGGTCCCCCACAACAGAGCACAGCTGCACTACCAAAAAACAGCCAGATTGCTTCTTTAAGAAGTGGGTCTGTGATCCTGTTCCTCTTGACTGGGTGACTCTTCACAAAAGGGATCTCCAAACACCTCCTACAGGTGCAGTTCAAGCTGGCAACAGGTCAGTACCCCCCTGGGACAAAGCTTCCAGAGGAAGGAACAGGCTGCCATCTTTGCTATTTCATAGCCTTCATTGGTGATACCTCCAGGTATGGGAAAAACTGAGGCAACTAGGATCTGGAGTGGATCCCCAGCAAACCACAGCAGCCCTATGGAACAGTAGACTGACTGTTAAAAGAAAAAAAGAACAGAAAACAACAATGACAACAAAAGACCCCACAAAAACCCAATTCAAAGTTCAGCAACCTCAAAGATCAAAGGTAGATAAGCCCACAAAGATGAGAAAGAATCAACACAAAAACGCTGAAAACTCAAAAAGCCAGAGTGCCTTGTCTCCCCCAGATGGCTGCAACACCTCTCCAGCAAGGGCACAGAACTGGGCTAAGGATGAAATGGTTGAATTGACAGAAGTAGTCGTCAGAAGGTGAGCAATAACAAAGTTCGCTGAGCTAAAGGAGCTTGTTCTAATACAATGCAAAGAAGCTAAGAATCATGATAAAACAATATAAGAGCTGACAGCCAGAATAGCCAGTTTAGAGGGGAGCGTAACTGACCTGATGGAGCTGAAAAACACAACAGAAGAACTTCACAATGCAATCACAAGTATCAACAGCAGAACAGACCAAGTGGAGGAAAGAATCTCAGAGCTTGAAGACTATCTTTCTGAAATGAGACAGGCAGACAAGAATAAACAAAAATCGTTAAAGGGAATGAACAAAACAGGCCAACATTCAAATTCGGGAACTGTAGAGGACCCCAGTAAGATACTTCATGAGATTAACCCCAAGACACCTAATCATCAGATTCTCCAAGGTTGAAATGAAGGAAAAAAAGTTAAGGGCAGCCAGAGAGAAAGGCCAGGTCACCTACAAAGGGAAGCCCATCAGACTAACAGCAGACCTCTCAGTGGAAGCCTTACAGGCCAGAAGAGATTGGGGGCCAATACTAAACATTCTTAACCCATTTATGCCTAGTGTTCCATTACTGGAACACTAAGCTTGTTGGAGTTACTTATATCCTACTGCTCATTGCCAAGGTCATTGCCAAGGTTTGATTTTTCACAAAAAATTTTGCAACCTCCAGCATAAATGGGTTTAGAATTTCCAACTCAGAATTTCATATCCTGCGAAAGTAAGCTTTATAAGTGAAGGAGAAATAAGATCCTTTTCAGACAAGCAAATGCTGAGGGAATTCATCACCACCAGGCCTGTCTTGCAAAAGCTCCATAAGGAAGCATTAAATATGGAAAGGAATCATTACCAGCCAGTAAAAAAGCACACTGAAGTGCACAGACCAGTGACACTATGAAGCAACAACATAAACAAGTCTGTAAAATAACCAGCTAGCATCATGATGACAGGATCAAATTCACACATAACAATAATAATCTTAAATGTAAATGGACTAAATGCCCCAATTAAAGACATAGAATGGCAAGCCAGATAATCAGCCAAGACTCATTAGTATGCTGTCTTCAACAGACCCATCTCACATTCAAAAACACAAATAGGTTGAGGTCAGGAGTTTGAAACCAGCCTGGCCAATATGGTGAAACCTCATCTCTACTAAAAATACAAAAAACTTAGCTGGGCATGGTGGCAGGTGCTTGTAATCCCAGCTACTCGGGAGGCTGAGGCAGGAGAATTGCTTGAAGCCAGGTGGTGGAGGTTGCAGTGAGCTAAGATGGCACCACTGCACTCTAGCCTGGACAACAGAGCAAGACACCATCTCAAAAAACCAAAAACCAAAACCAAAAACAAACAAAATGTCCACATCAAAAAAATTTAAAAGATCTCAAGTTAATAGCCTAACATCACAACTAAAAGAACTGGAGAACCAAGAGCAAACAAACCCAAAAGCTAGCAGAAGATAAGAAATAACTAAGATCAGAGCTGAACTGAATGAGAAAAGAGACATAGGTTCAAAATAAGGGGATAGAGGAACATTTACCAAGCAAATGGAAAACAGCAGGGGTCGTAACCCTAGTTTCTGACAAAACAGACTTTAAACCAACAAACATCAAAAAAGATAAAGAGGGGCATTATATAATAGTAAAGGGTTCAATTCAATAAGAAGAGCCAACTATCCAAAACATATATGCACCCAATCCAGGAGCACCCAGATTCATAAAACAAGTTCCTAGGGACCTACAAAGAGACTTAGACTCCCACAAAATAATAGTGGGAGACTTTAACACCCCACTGACAATAGTAGATCACTGAGACACAAAATTAACACAGATATTCGAGACCTGAACTCAGCTCTGGATCAAATGGACCTGAAAGATATCTACAGAACTCTCCACCCAAAACCAACAGAATACACATTCTACTCATCGCCACATGGTACTTACTCTAAAATTGAACACATAATTGGAAGTAAAACACTCCTCAGCAAATGCAAAAGAACTGAAATCATAACAAAATCTCTGACCCCAGCACAATCAAATTAGAACTCAAGGTTAAGAAATTCCCCTAAAACCACACAACAATATGGATATTGAACAACCTGCTCCTGAATGACTATGGGTAAATAATGAAATTAAGGCAGAAATCAAGAAGTTCTTTGAAACTAATGAGAACAAAGATACAACATACTAGAATCTCTGGGATTCAGCTAAAGCAAGGTTAAGAGGGAAATTTATAGCACTAAAATGTCCACATCAAAAAAATTAAAAAGATCTCAAGTTAATAGCCTAACATCACAACTAAAAGAACTGGAGAACCAAGAGCAAACAAACCCAAAAGCTAGCAGAAGATAAGAAATAACTAAGATCAGAGCTGAACTGAATGAGAAAAGAGACATGAAAAACCCTTCAAAAAAAAATCAATTAATCCAGGAGCTGGTTTTTTGAAAAAATAGACTGCTGGTTAGACTAAAGAAGAAAAGAGAGAAGAATCAAATAAATACAATCAGAAATGGTAAGGAGGATATTACCACTGACCCCACAGAAATACCAACAACCATCAGAGAATACTATAAACATTTCTATGCATATAAACTAGAAAATCTAGAAGAAACAGATAAATTCCTGGACATATACACCTTCCCAAGATTGAACCAGGAAGAAATTGAATTCTTGAACAGACCAATAACAAGTTCTGAAATTGAGGCAGTAATAAATAGCCTACCAACCAAAAAAAGCCCAGGACCAGATAGATTCACAGTGAATTCTACCAAAGGTACAAAGAAGAGCTGCTACGATTTCTACTGAAATGATTCCCGAAAATTGAAAAGGAGGGACTCCTCCCTAACTCATCAAATGAGGCCAGCATTATTCTGAAACCAAAACCTGGCAGAGATACAACAAAAAAAGAAAACTCCAAGCCAATATCCTTGATGAACATCAATGCAAAAATCCTGAAGAAAACACTGGCAAACCAAATCCAGTAGCACATCGAAAAGCTTATCTACCACGATCAAGTTGGCTTCATCCCCGGGATGCAAGGTTGGTTCAACACATGCAAATCAGTAAATGTGACTCACCACATAAACAGAACTAAAGACAAAAATCACATTATCTCAATAGACGCAGAAAAGGCCTTCAATTAAATTCAACATCCCTTCATGTTAAAAATGCTCAATAAACAAGGTATTGAAGGAACATATCTTGAAATAATAAGAGCCGTCTATGACAAACCCACAGCCAACATCATACTGAATGGGCAGAAGCTGGAAGAATTCCCCTTGAAAACTGCCACAAGACAGGAATGCCCTCTCTCACCACCCCATTCCACACAATGTTGGAAGTTGTGGCCAGGGCAATCAGGCAAGAGGAAGAAATACGAAGAGAGGAAGTCAAATTATCTTTGAAGATGACATGATTCTATATCTAGAAAACCCCATCGTCTCAGCCCAAAAGCTTTTTAAGTTGATAAGCAACATCAGCAGTCTCAGGATACAAAATTAATGTGCAAAAATCACTAGCATTCCTATACCCCAACAGGCAGGCAGAGAGCCAAATCACAAATAAACTCCCATTCACAATTGCTATAAAAGGAATAAAATACCTAGGAATACTGCTGACAAGGGAAGTGAAGGACCTCTTCAAGCAGAACTACAAACCACTGCTCAAAGAAATCAGAGAAGACACAAACGGAAAAACATTCCATGCTCATGGATAGGAAGAATCAACATTGTGAAAATGGCCATACTGCCCAAAGTAATTTATAGATTCAATGCTATGCTCATTAAACTACCATTGATGGTCTTCACAGAATTAGAAAAAACTACTTTAAAATTCATATGGGACCAAAAAAGAGCCTGAATAGCCAAGACAATCCTAAGCAACAACAACAATGCTGGACCATCACACTACCTAACTTCCACCTATACTACAAAGTTACAGTAACCAAAACAGCATGGTACTGGTACCAGAACAGACACATAGACCAACAGAATAGAATAGGGAACTCAGAAATAAGACCGCACACCTATAACCATTTGATCTTTGACAAACCTGACAAAAACAAGCAATGGGGGAAAGGATTCCCTATTCAATAAATGGTGCTGGGATAACTGGCTAGCCATATGTAAAAAATGGAAACTGGACCCCTTCCTTAAGCCATATACCAAAATTAACTCATAATGGATTAAAGACTAAAATGTAAAGCCCAAAACTATAAAAATGCTAGCAGAAAATCTGGGCAATATCATTTAGGACACAGGCACGGGCAAAGATTTCATAACAAAAACACCAAAAGCAATTGCAACAAAAGCAAAAATTAACAAATGGGATCTAATTAAACCAAAGAGCTTCTGCACAGAAAAAGAAACTATCATCAGAGTGAACAGACAACCTACAGAATGGGAGAAAATTTTTGCTGTCTAATCTTTCTAACAAAGGTCTAATATCCATAGTCTACAAGGAACTTAAATTTACAAGAAAAAAAAACCTCATTAAAAAGTGGGCAAAGGACATGAACAGACACTTCACAAAAGAAGACATACATGTGGCCAACAAATATATGAAAAAAGGTCAACATCACTGATCATTAAAGAAATGAATTGGGAGGCCGAGGCGGGCAGACCATGAGGTCAGGAGATCGAGACCATCCTGGCTAACACAGTGAAACCCCATCTCTACTAAAAAATACAAAAAAATTAGCCGGGCGTGGTGGTGGGCGCCTGTAGTCCCAGCTACTCAGGAGGCTGAGGCAGGAGAATGGCATGAACCCGGGAGGCGGAGCTTGCAGTGAGCCGAGTTTGTGCCACTGCACTCCAGCCTGGGCCACAGAGTGAGACTCCGTCTCAAAAAAAAAAAAAAAGAAATGAAAATCCAAACCACAATGAGATATCATCTCATGCCAGTCAGAATGGCTATTATGAAACAGTCAAAAAAAAAAAAAAAAAAACAAAAACAAAAAAAAAACAGATGCTGGCAAGGTGGTGGAGAAAAAGGAAAGCATTTACACTGTTGGTGGGAATGTAAATAGTTCAACCACTGTGGAAGAGAGTGTGGCAATTCCTTAAAGACCTAGAGGCAGAAATACCATTTGACCCAGCAATCCCATTACTGGAAACATACCTAAAGGAATATAAATCATTCTGTTATAAAGATTCATGCACGTGTATGTTCACTGCAACACTATTCACAATAGCAAATACATGGAATTAACCCTAAATGCCCATCAAAGAGAGGAGTAAACTCTCTTTACTGGTTTAAGCTTATATAGTTGTGATTTAGCTATCATATGCCTCTTATAACAAATATAAGCTTTACTAGAAATGATCATCAATCTAATTATGTCTTTCTCCCAATCTAGTATAGCCAATCTATACTATAAAGAAAATGTGGTACATATATACCATGGAATACTATGCAGCCATGAAAAGGAATAAGATCATGTCCTTTGCAGGGACATGAAGTTGGAAGCCATTATCCTCTGCAAACTGACACAGAAACAGAAAACCAAACACCATGTGTTCTCACTTATAAGTGGGAGCTGAATGATAAGAACACATAGACACATGAGTGGCAACAACACACACTGGGACCTATAGGGGGCAGGGTAGGGGGAGAAACAGCATCAGGAAGAATAGCTCATGGATGCTGGGCTTAATACCTAGGTGATGGGATGATCTGTGCAGCAAACCACCATGGCACATGTTTACCTATGTAACAAACCTGCACACTCTGCACATGTACCCCTGAACTTAAAATAAGAGAAAAAAAAAAACACCTTCAAATAGACACTTGCTAAAATCCTCTATAAAACAACCTATCACAGAACGAAAAAATTTGCCACAATATTAATCACTGATAGAAACTTTTTTAGCATGGCAAAGGATGTGGCCAGATAATGTTTCATCTGTAATGAAATTAATTTGGAAAAATTATAAAGGTGGGGTATGAACTAGAACCATACCCTAAAAGACTCTTTGAGTACATCCAAATGGATTGTATATAACTACTTGATTCTGTGTGTGTTATATACAGTAATAATGGTATATTTATTTTCTGGATGAATGGAAACATTCCCTTGTCAAAAAGCTAGCACTTAAAATGGCTAAAAAAGGATTCGAGTTTGTGTTTCCCACCAAGGATATTACATCTATCTAATAATACAGGGACACATTAAGCTGGAATGGTTTTTCATGATTTGAATTATACAAGCTTTGCTTTTTAAATGAACCCTTATTGCTCATATCACTTCAATCCTCTGGAAAAACAGAAAAGGTCTTAATAGAATCAGAAAGTTATACCCATTAGAGATTCCAAAGTTCTGTGAAGGGCTTTCAGAAGCAAATGATCTGCAGAAATTGACTGCCAACCCAAAAGCCTCAGAACAAGCAGATAACCACACAAAACAGGCAGCTTTGGCCTAAGACCATCCAAACAAGATTCTTCTGTCACATTCTCTTAACATACCTTTGTCTGTTATTCTGTTGGTCATACTCCTCTCTTTACTGGTTTAAGCTTATATAGTTGTGATTTAGCTATCATATGCCTCATAACAAATACAAGCTTTACTAGAAATGATCATCAATCTAATTATGTCTTTCCCCCAATCTAGTATAGCCAATCTAAAAATAACATAAAGGTATGTTAGATTAACTTTATCAATAATGATACCCTTTGAGGACAATACATAAGTGAAGAAAAAAGTCCTTGTTCTGGAAAAGGAGGATATAAATATTCTTGGCATATAACTGTGACTGTCATGACAACATAAGCGGTAATACATTTACAATCCATTAAGGTTGATCATCTCCCTTGTGTAGTAACTGGGATCCTTTTCCTTTGTGGAATTCAGCACCGAGGTTTTCAGTGCCAACCCTGGACCAAGGTTAATTATTCTGGGGGGCTCCTGGTTAGGCTGTTTTAAGGTTATAATTCCCCAATACCCTCAATTGACTATATATCTTTATAAAGAGCCCAAAGGGATAAATCCCTTTTTGGGGAGACTCCTGTGTTAGTCCATTCTCACACTGCTATACAGAACTACCTGAGACTGGGTAATTTATAAAGAGGCTTAATTGACTCACAGTTCCACAGGCTGTACAGTAGGCATTGGCTGGGGAGGCCTCAGGAAACTTATAATCATGGCAGAAGGGCAAAGGGGAAGCAAGCACATCTTCACATGGCAGTAGGAGAGAACAAGTGAACAGGGAGATTCTACACACTTTTAAACAACCAGATCTTGTGAGAAGTCACCCACTATCACAAGAACAGCAAGGGAGAAAACTGCCCCCATAATCCAATCACCTTCCACCAGGCCCCTCCTCCTCCAACACTGGGAATTACAATTCAACATGAGATTTGGGTGGGGACACAGAGCCAAACCATATCAACTCCTATGGATAGTGACCTATCCCATAGGAGTTTGACAACTTGAGGAGACCATAAAAAATGTGTTCTTTCACTTTAGCTGACCCAGTAAATAACACAGCCCAACCCTTGGAGACACAGCAAACAACTTAAATTTTTCATAACCAGGCGTCTTCTTAGTCTGTCTCTGCTGCTATAACAAAACAGTTGAGACTGAGTAATTTATAAAGAACAGACATTTACTTCTTACAGTTTGGGAGGCTGGGAAGTCCAAGATCAAGGTGCTTGCAAATTTCATGTCAAGTGAGGATCCCGTTCCCTATTTCTAAGATGGCACCTTGTTGCTGTTTCCTCCAGAGGGGCTGAATGCTGTGTCCTCACATGGTGGAAGGCAGAAGGGCAAAATGGCCCAAGCTAGTTCCCTCCAGCCCTTTAATGAGGCACTACTCCATTCATGAGGGCAGAGCCCCAAAGGCCCCCCACTTAATACCACTTCCCCAGAGGCCCTAAAGGCCCTCCACTTAATACTACCACAGTAAGAATTAAGTTTCAACATGAATTTTGGAGGGGACACATTCAAACCATAGAACCAAGGTAGTTATAGGTAATAAAATAGCCATGAATTATTTTCTTTTCCCAACCAGAGAGGTGTGTGCACCAGTGCTAACACTTCATATTGTACCTAGGTTAACAAAATAGTTGATGTCTATTGTTCAGTCTCAAATGCTTCTACAGAGCCACTGTCCTAACATATGATAGAGGACCAAAAGGGGGCACAAAGAATAAAATGTTTACATCCTCCCAAAAACAGATTGAGATTGATTGTTTGGAAGCCACAAGAACAAGCGGCTAGTTTTTAACTACCAGTTTTTAACTTGTCCATTAGCTCAGTGACAACTTTCTTTTTTTTTTTTTTTTTTTGAGACAGTTTCACTCTGTTGCCCAGGCTGGAGTGCAGTGGCATGATCTTGGCTCACTACTACCTCCACCTCCTGGGTTCAAGCGATTCTTGTGCCTCAGCCTCCCAAGTAGCTAGGACTACAGGTGTGCACCACCACACCTGGCTAACTTTTGTATTTTTGATAGAGATAGGGTTTCCCCATGTTGGCCAGGCTGATCTCGAACTCCTGGCCTCAAGTGATCTGCTTGCCTTGGCCTCCCAAAGTGCTGGGATTACAGGCATGAGCCACCTCACCCGGCCAACTTGCCTTTTTGTACATGCTTTTACAGGCCTGAAAACTAGCAAGAGTCCTTTATTCCTAAAGTCAAACAAACAGAAATGGACCCACTCCAATTAACATGCTTCTGAATGTGAATCAATGAACAACAGTCTCACTCCAGTAACTACAGTCCTATAGGTGTCAATATGAATTTCATATTCCCAAAAAACCTACGAGATTAACAGTCTGCTCTGCTCAAGGAGGACTATGCCTGAACAACACTTCTCCCTTACTATATAGTAAGTGATAAATTCAGCTGTGTTTTTTTCTATCAGATATTGAGTAGTAGGCTCATCAACCTTTGACAGTCTTATAATTGATATTATTTCCAATTTCATGATTGCTTACTTGATTTAGGTCCTGATAATATCAGCAGCAGCTATGATTACTTGAGTATTAATTAAGTCAGGTCTTATGCCAGCCATTTACATATGTTAAATCTGGATTACCTAATCCACCACTCAACATCTGAAATAAAAAGATGAAGATGAGCTTATTGCTTAACTATAGTAAGGAAGAGCTATGTTGGTCAGGCATAGTCTCCCTGAGAAGAACAGACTGCTGCATTCTATAACTTTTTTAATGACCAAGGAAGCTGTAAATATAATCTCTGAAATGCCTTATTTGAGAATAGAGATATTAGTCTTTAAAAGATATGCTGGTAATTACCCAACATAGAAGTGCATAAATTTACAAGACAGTAGAGGAGTCTTTACCATTTTTCACACAATTCTATTACCAGGGATTATCTACTGCATGTTAGAGTGGCACATTTCATTGAAACAAAATATATCGTTTAGTAGCAATATCATTTAGAACTTGCTAAAAGCCTTTTCATAAAATATACTTATTAGAAAAACAGACAAGAATTATGCAACACCATCTCCTATCATACAACAAATTAACACAAATTTATTGGGTGGAAAATGTGAAAAGGGACAAAAAAAGGGGTAGTTTTGTACTGATATAAGAGTTCATAAAGTGATAAACTCAGGTCCAAAATCTTCAGCCCACATCAAAGACTTCATGTTCTTATGACTCTAGAAACAGGCCAGCCCCGGCTGCTGGGCTCTTGGAATCATGGAGTGTAGCTACACATAAAGAAGCTCCCTTGTCAAGGACATCACTTCCTCTGTACCTCAGAATGATACTTCTTGGGCATGGGCCTAAGATTCTGTTTTCTCTCCCATCGATGCAGAACAGATTGGTTGGACATGACATCATGTTTTACATCTTGGTCCTGTTGGAAAGAAAACACACCTAACACTGACTGTTCAGAGCTAACTGCAGCAATCTGCACCTGTTTTGCCTCTACACATGTCATCTATTCATGAAGACAAGTGATTCTAATCTAAAAAGTTTGTGACAGGTGGAACTTTGTAAAAAAAAGAAATTAATTGGTTTCCTAGCATTAGTCTAAAGAAACTAAAGATTAAAAGAGAGAGTATCGAGATGATGAGAGAACTTCGGTAATTAGAAATCTGAGAAGCAACAAGTAGAAAATTGCTTAAGACATCCATGTCTTAATCTTACCTTTTCCTGCCACCTGTCTTCCCCAGAAGGCCTCTGCAACCGGTTTTTTGTCAGCTCAAGTTGTAGACCATCAAACCTGTGCTTAAACCAGCGATGAGCTTCTTCCAGATTAGCTGTTATCTGAACATATAAATATCACCATTAAAAGACACAAAGAAAGAGTTACAAGTTTTTTTGTGTATTAGTTGCAGAGATTTTTTACTTAGAAATTAAAAGACCCAAATTCTGACTGCTTGTTCTTCACAACCTATTTGCATAATATACTTAACATCCTATACATGCGAGTAATTTCTGAGTGAGGGGTTAAAGAATGCATGCAGACTTGCTGCTTTTCATGCATTTGTTAATGTTTCTTGGATGTGAAGTAATGTAAGAGAGGACCCAGGAGAAAATTAAGAATGAAGGTAAAAGATGGCTTTGAAAATGAAAAAAATGCACAAAAGACTCTTAAGAATGTAGTAGTTCATGGGCCAGGTGTGGTGGTTCACACCTGGAATCACAGCACTTTGGGAGGCCAAGGCTGGTGGATCACTTGAGTCCAGGAGTTTGAGACCAGCCTGGCAACACAGTGGAACCTCATCTCTACCAAAAATTAGCTGGGCATGGTGCACCACCATGCCCAGCTACTTGGCTACTTGGGAGGCTCAAGTGGGAGGATCATTTGAGCCTGGGAGGCGGAGATTGCAGTGAGCCAAGATTATGCCATGCACTCCAGCCTGGTGACAGAGTGAGACCCTGTCTTGGAAAAAAAAAAAAAAAAAGTATGATTTGAAATACCCCCCAAAAGGCTAATTTAAGTTTAGAATAGAGAAAGAAAATTCACAATTAGTTAAATAGGGTCTACTTTACTTTTTTAGTTATTGATTGATTGAACAAAGAGCATCCACTTTCAGTAGGGTCATGTCAAATAATAATGCATTAAAATCCACACACATGCTGGTCTTTCCTTATATTTAATAGGGAGATTTGGACTTCAGGTTTAATATTTTAGCATTCTGTTATATATCATCTGTCATCTGGACACAGACTCTTAATCTAAAAATCACTTCTTCTCTACAATAGAGACTACACTTAGGAAGTTACTCGTTCTTCCCTGTTGCATTCCTGACAACTACGTTAATGAAGGATTTCACATTGACTTGGGTTGCTTCAGGGTTGCTGTGTTGAAGGAAACGTCTAAGTCTTTATGTCCGTGGGTCTGGCTCACCTGTTCTGATTCCACACTGGCTTCTTTCAGCGTATTCTCTGTTGCCTCTTTACATTTCTTCAGGTGTCTGACAGTTTCTTCCAATTCCTGAAAATGTGATACAAAGATTTTTATAAACTTCCAACATACCATAAGAAACCAAATGCTTCACTGTTATAATAAATGGGCAACTAAATATGAAAATAGGATGGAGTGCCTTCTAACTTCAGGTGCTACTGACATATGAGATAAAAACTGTTATTTTCAGCTTAACCTATAGTCTGCATATCTACATATGTGGATATGATTACACATTTTGATTTTTTATTTATGGAGTCTGTTGAGGACAGTGATTAATATCTCTTTTCAGAACTGGAGAGATACTTCTCATGACAAACCCTACTGAAAGACAAGAGCTCAGTGATCTCTTGAAGTCCCTTTTCAGTGATAAGACGTTATGCTTTTTATTCATTTAGGAATACCTAAGAGTCCTGTAATAGCAACAGGTGTATCTGTGCTAGAAGAAACGAGGTGTACAAAGTTCCTGAAAGGCTATGAAATTCAGTTCAGAAGTCTTACTTAGTAACTGATACTTTGCATATGTAAGCTCTAGCTGTTCTTTAAAAATTGACATTACTTTTATTAAACTGAAAATGGAGAACATTTGCCATATTCAAACTACAGCCTTCTTCCTAGATACTATTATTCTAAGGACTTAGCTAAGATAAACAATTTGTAAATGTGTGTTGTCTTCTGTAGACTCTAGAAAGTCTAGGTGCAAAACTACTGGGCTTTGGCACATGTCATTTGCTGACCATCTTTAAGATGAATCTTAGGAAACCTTTTACCTGGCACCGATTCTCTAGCTCCTGCCTTATTTTCCGCTCTGCTTCTAGGTGCAGCTCTTGCTGTTTATTCCGCACTGAGGCATCATATTGGCTCTTAGCCAACATCTGCATCTCTTTCTGCAGGTTAGTCATTTCACACACAAATCTCTGGATACTCAAAGACTGGAAGGATACAAAGACAGAGACATTTGGTGAACACCCTCCAAGTTTGAGATTTTGCATGAAAGGTAAACACAGAGTATATGGAAATCATCTACCTGTTCATAGTTCTTTTTCTGATATTGATCCTTAATTAGCTCCATTTGCTTCAATTCTTTTTCTATTTGCTAAAAGTAATTGGAAAATAACATAAAAAGATGATCAGTGGAAAAACTGGCTTGCTCTTTTTGCCTATAGGATGACAGAAAGAATCCAATATGAGACCCAAAGTTACCAGTTCCTGCTGAGCTTTCTTTCCCATCTAGCCCACTGATCCCAAAAGAGCAAAGTCCAGTACAATCAACACGGAAGGGACAGATAGGGAGCCGGAATGTGACACTGGCAGCAAATGAGAAATCAAACATTTACACAGCAGTGACTCCACTGAAAAAGTCTCCCCAAAGACAACTGGCTATAATTCCCAGAGAATACATGGGGCTGCTAGGGTTCTAAAACCTGTCTTCCCTAGACACCATTGACTGACTACATCCTCACAGGGTATCCAGGAAGTGAGAAGAGGTTTCCCATACAACCTTCATCCTTTCTATATTCTGAGCATTATTCGCCTTAGCTGACAAGTGGAGCTTAATTTGGGTCTTTTGATTCTTTATTTTCTCCTTGTTACTTTCTAGTATTTTTTCTAGCTCTGCAAGTTTCTGTCGCAGCTCTCGGTTGGTCCGGGACACTTCCACTGATCTGAAGTTAGCTTCATCAAGGGCTTTCTTCAGCTTAAAACACAAGGGAGAAAATTGAAACATTTTTACTTTCCATTAAGAGAAGCTTACTTAGTTTTGTCCTTATATTTTATCATCTTTGGATCTTCTTTTAAAAAGGAGAGTTAGTGAGGCAATAATAATGTCTGATTAAGCAGATTTATGGAGCAATAGACCAAGTGGTTTTCATGATTTTTATCACTAAAGAACAAAATCTTTTTTGGAATAAAGAATGCAAATGTATATTCATCATTTGCATTTTAAGAGCATGACTTTGGAGTCAGGCATCTGTCCAAATATCAGCTTCAGTACTTACTAGCTGAGTGATCTGGAGCAATTAACTACCTTAAGCCTCAGGTTCATCATCTGAACAGTGTGTGTATAGCCTACTTCATAGAATACAAATAACAATTAAATTAAATAAGATCATATAAAGAAAGAAGTAGAGGCTGGCACACACAATTACTCTGTGATTATCATGCTATAAGCTCTTCTCTGTCACTTGCAACCTCATGTCTGAAGAAATGAAAATGAATTATATGGCAGTTTATATAAATATCTGTCAGGTACTGACTGCCATGGCATATATTTTTATAATTTTGCTTTTTGTTCTTAAGGATTTTAATAAACTTCTCTCGTGAAAAAAAAACTGCATAGTAGTTACTTAAATAATTTTACAGCGTTCACGCCTTCTAATATGCCCTTAAACCATTGCCACTTGAAAACTTTAGGAAGAGGAGGTAGTTGAGAAGGGAGAAGACAGGAAGGTGGTATTCTCTATGGATGGTAGCATTTAACACAGCAAAGAGTGAAGTCAAGGATATCTGTACCTTTTCTCTCTATACTAGTTCCTTCTTTTAGATCCTAACTTTACACTACAGTCTTTTATTACTACCCAACTAACTTCCTGTTAGATATTCCAGTTACCTCAATCACAGCCTTTCTAAAACTGGATAAGCACTAACAACTATCATTTACTTTGTACTGAGTATTATGTTCAGGCACTGTGATAATTACTTTACAAATGCTTTCCAATTTAATACTCAAGACAAACTTGACTCAGGCAGTGCTCCCTGAGCCCATTGCTGCTGCCAACTTCTCACTGCTGTCACTCTCTCACTGTTCTCCACTGTCACTGATCCTTCTTCAAATGATTTCATTTTGTAAGTATTCTTTTTTTTTTTTTTTTTTTTTTTGAGACAGAGTCGTGCTCTGGAGCCCAGGCTAGAGTGCAGTGGTGCGATCTCAGCTCACTGCAAGCTCCGCCTCCCAGGTTCATGCCACTCTCCTGCCTCAGCCTCCCGAGTAGCTGGGACTACAGGCACCCACCACTATGCCTGGATAATTTTTTGTATTTTTAGTAGAGACAGGGTTTCACCATGTTAGCCAGGATGGTCTTGATCTCCTGACCTCGTGATCCCCCTGCCTCAGCCTCCCAAAGTGCTGGGATTACAGGCATGAGCCACTGTGCCCGGCTGTAAGTATTCTTAACAATGATCTCCGACTAAAGGTACATTTCTACATTTAGCACACCTTTATGTTCCCTAATTCTTCTATAAAAAGCAGAATTTGCTTTTTATAACATTTGTATTTATATAGTGCTTTGCAATTCACAAAATTGTTTTATATACCATTATTTGAGTTTGATTTTGTGAATGGTCTGTCAATTGCAACTACTAAACGTAACAAATTTGGTGAAACACAGACCAGCCATGCCAACCAAGGAATTATTTTAATCCCTCCCTCTCCAGGATACAACATTTAATGTCTGGTTGATAATTTTTTTCTTTTTCTTTTTTTTTGAGACGGAGTCTCACTCTGTCGCCCAGGCTGGAGTGCAGTGGCACCATCTCGGCTCACTGCAAGCTCTGCCTCCCGGGTTCAAGCGATTTTTGTGCCTCAGCCTCCTGAATAGCTGGGATTACAGGCGCCTGCCACCACACCCAGCTAATTTTTGTATTTTTAGTAGAGATGGAGTTTCACCATGTTGGCCAGGCTGGTCTCAAACTTCTGACCTCAGGTAATCCACCTGCCTCAGCCTCCCAAAGTGCAGGGATTACAGGCATGAGCCGCCTCGCCTGGCCTGTTTGATTTTTTTTCTATTAAAATGGGCTTTCTGACTTAATTGTTTTCTATTTTCAACTGAACTACTTTGCTTGGCCCTAATCATCTAATACTCGAATTAACTGTTATAGTTTTCTCGAGCCTCCATGCCTCCAGTTTCTCTTCATTATCCTCTACTGTCCTCTGCTGTTACATTAACCTTCCTAAACTCATGCTTCTATCATACCACCCCCTGCTCAGAAACCCATAGTGCTCCGTTTCTACCTAAGAGCACACATCCAACATTTCTATAACTAAGGCCATCCATCAGGTGGTCCCATTTAAGCTAACACTCTCTCTCTAACATTTTCCAAAGTCTCTGCTCTAATCAAGAAAGGCTACTTTTCATCTGCTCACATGTCCTGTTCATTTTTGTAAGTAAGCATGGCCTGTGCTGTTTCATAAGGTGTCCAGCCCTGCCATTTCTGCTAGTCTCAATCCTGTACTCTCATTAAGCCTCTCTTCTTCTATCAACCAAATGGCCTAAAATAAACTTTCTCTTACTTTGAATTCCTTCAAAGTTGTACACAGCCTCTGCTACCCAAGAAAGTTCTCTGATGTTTTCCCTATATATCTCATTTCCGGAGTGGAGATCCCAAACAAGGGTCATTTGGCACACACTGGGGCATGGACCATATCTTCTACTGTTTTCTCTGTGCCTCTCAGGAAATGGTAGATGCAGAATAGATGCCAGTTAAATGAACTGAGAAGACAGATGATTTCTCTTCTGTCTATCAAATGGCAGTCTCCTTATTCCTCTATCCCTCTTGCTTATCACTCTCTGATGGAAAATCTCCCATCAAGGCACACCTTTGTCGGGCAGAGAATTATGTCAGAAACTTTTTTCTTGTGTGTTGCTTTACAGAGAGGTCTTAATTACATCTGGCCTGCTGATCAAAGGGGGATGAGAGGAGTCAAAGAACAACTGTAGCCATTCTCTGAAATCCTTGAGCTGCTTATCCTAAGAGGCATTCACCAAAAGAGAAACTTTTCTCATGACTATACCTCAGCCACTTCCCGTTGTGCCACTTTCTTTGTAGTTTCTCTCTCGGTTTGAAACTGCTTTCTTAGAGCTTCTATGCGTTCAGCATGCAATTCTGCTTCCACTTTGGACTCTTCAGTCATCCGGTCTCTGTTTTGAAGAAGAGAGGTGATAAGTCACCTTTAGAAATCATTTTAGGAGGTAAGAAAGTTTTGGAGGGGAGTGTGCAACTCTCCAAAAGGTGTGTGATTTATAAACAAGCAGCCTATCAGTAGCCTGGTGAACCTCACTAATTTGGAGCTCATTAACAGAAGAAAAAAGAAGTGAATTTACCTGTAGCATTAAAAAACATTAATTCTACATAAAGAGATCCAACCAAACGAGTAAAAAACTCACATCGAAGAAAAATACTGGAGGAAGAAGAAACACTTTAAGAGATACTTGCTTTTGTCTTTTCTTTTGCCTTTGTCTTTTCAAACAAAACATTATAGCAAAGTGATTAAGACTATGGGTTTTGGAGTCAGCCTGCTGCTGCCTGGATTGTAATCTCCGCTCTAGTAAGATGATGTCTTTTTGCTAGCAGCTATTTACTACTTAAGTTTTAACTTGTAATAATATTGTTTCCTTATCTTTAAACTGAGAGCCTTAAATTAGATCAGCATTCCTAACTTGAACTCCTTGTTCAAGACCCATGATTAATCTTCTGAGGATGCTGGAATTGCCTGAAATAATATGCAAAATGTGTGTGTGTGAGGGAGTGTAGCTGAGTCCGTAGCTTCTGACTTTTAAAAGGATAAGTGACTCCAAAAAGGACTAAACGGATTTAAACAATTACTAGGCTTATTCCAGCTTTAACATTCTCTGATCTAGCTGATAATGACTTACTGTATGATTACTCTTGAGTTATTGGTTCTTTCTCAAAGGATAGGAGAAGCCTGCCCTGCCATGAAATCACCTTCATTTTCCCTCTCTCTCCTCCTGACCATCTCTTGCTCTTATTTGTATAATATATCCATGTTCTCCACGTGTCTCTAAAAGCACATCTACTAATGGATTCAGTTTCTCCACTTGGCAGCATTCAGTGGCTTGGTCTATACATGAGACTTGCAGGTGGTAACTGCAACTGTCCCTCCAGTACCCCAGGCAGGAATGTATCAATATACTTTGGTACATCACATCTAAAAAGTTGCTGACACCTGTCCTCAAGGCACAGCATAAAGGGATGGAGATCCTGAAGTCATTGGATATAATTATGGTTATTTCTTATATTCCCACACTCCTCCCCATGCCCACACCTCAATCTGAAAAATGAGCAAAAAATTCATGGAGATATAGAAAGAGAAAACCATCATTTTTACAGTGCTGTATTTTGAAAATTATAAGAAACTTTCTAAATTGCCTTTAAATTTATTGTGATTATATCAAAATGATTAAGACTATAAGTTTTGGAGTCAGCCTGCTGCTGCCTGGATCTAATCCCAGCTCTAGTAAGATGATGTCTGACCTTGAGTATGGTACACCACCTTCCCCTGCTTGTTTCCTTATCTTCAAAATGGGAATAACAACAGTAACCACCATCATAGGGTAATAGTTTGTACTAAAGGAAATAATGCATGTGAAGTCCTTAGCATATTACCCAACATATCATGAGCATGTAACAAATGTTAGCTACTGTCATCATCATCATCTAGCTCTAAAAATTTAAATTCTAAATTTTAGATTTTTAAATTAAATTTTGTATTAACTTTAATTTTTAATTTTAAAATTTCTCTCAAGTCTCTACCTCTGCCCTGAGCCCCTACATAGCACTTCAACTTCAACTCTTACTTTCTTCTTCTTTTTACTGAGGTAAGAACATTTAACATGAGATCTACCCTCTTAACAAATTTTAAGCATACAATATACTGTTGTTCATTATAGCCCTATGTTATATAGCAGATCTCTAGAATGTATTCATCTTGCTCTTTTTTCTTCTAAGGAAAATCGCAGACCATCTACCAATCAGCCTCCTTAACAGTCTTCTGAAGACTCACTCAGCTTCTGCTTCCCGCTAGTCCCAAAGGAAGAAATGTCCAACCTCATCTTTAAAGATAACCCTTCCTCTTATACTCTCTCTTTTCTCCAGTTCGATTGAGTTCTTTTCCATAATCTTTAATCATGGTCCAGTTCCTCCCATTCTAAAAACAGGGCAGCAGCAGAATAACTTTTCTTCATGTTATGCTCTTGAGCTGCTATCTGATCTTCTTTATCTTCACCATTGTCCTCTTTGCCTGCCTTTCCTCATCAATCACTTACTCTTTGTGATCTTCTATATCTACAGAAACTGGCCATCTGGAGGATGATTGGTAGATACCTGTTGCAAAACCCAGTGGCTTCCTCTCTGGTCTCTTTGACTCTGCAGCATCTGACTCACTTGTGTTTGACTCTGGTGATACTACATTCTACCAACTCTTTCCTTACCTCCACTAAATGCTCCTTCTCTGGATCCTTCTGTGGCCTCTGTTCAACTTCTACCTGAAATGCAACACATCTCCAAGTTCTGACCTTGGTTCTCTCTCTATACTTTTCCCATGGCAGTCTAACCCACACCAAAGCTTTAGCGTTTATCTTTTTATTTTTTTGAGATGGAGTCTTGCTCTGTCACCCAGGCTGGAGTGCAGTGGCCTGATCTCACTGCAACCTCACTGCAACCTCTGCCTCCCAGGTTCAAGCGATTCTCCTGCCTTAGCCTCCCGAGTAGCTGGGACTACAGGCATACACCACCACACCCAGGTATGTATTTTTAGTAGAGATGGGGTTTCACCATGTTGGCCAGGATGGTCTCGATCTCCTGACCTCGTGATCCGCCCACCTTGGCCTCCCAAAGTACTGGGATTACAGGTGTGAGCCACCGCACCCGGCGTTTAGCTTTTATCTTTATGGAGATGAATTCCAACTAGTAGCCTCTTCTTAGAACTAAGCCTGCATTTCTAAGTCTAAATTAAGTAACTGTACCTGAAACCCAGCAAGTTCTCCAAAACCTGCTCTGTCTTCCTAACCATGTGCACTGATAAATACAGTTCTGCATATGATTTCAGGAGGTTCAAAGATCTCAAGTAAAGAAGGTTGATTCACCTTTGATGAAAATACAAACTATTATCATAAGCAGTGGCATAAGGGTAAATCCTGAAGCAAATGCTGCAAGGAGACCTCTAACTCTCACCTCATCCTTTTCCTGTAAATGACCTAATCATTTTTTTTTTCCTTTGGTTTTGCTTGTTTTAAGCAGTAGTGGCAGGGACTACATTTTATAGTCACCTAAATAATTTTCAGGCTTTGAAACAATTACTAGCTCTCTAAATCATAATTACCTAAACTGACATTGGAGAGTTTTAAATGATGCTGCCAACGACTACATAAACACAATATGGAACAGTCTTAAGGCAGTAACATTTCAGCTGAATATAAAATTTGCAGAGATCATATATCTGGAAAATACCATCTCTGCTTTAGCTTGTACCTCTTTCCTGTATCAACATGCTCACTAATTGAAAATAATAAATATCTAGGCTGAGAACAGTGGCTCATGCCTGTAATCCCAGCACTTTGGGAGGCCAGGCAGGTGGATTGTTTGAGCCCAGGAGTTTTGAGACCACCCTGGGCAACATGGAGAAACCCTATCTCTTAAAAAAAAAAAAAAATTAGCCAGGTGTGGTGATGCATGCCTGTAGTTCCAGCTACTCAGGAGGCTCAGGTGGGAGAACTGCATGAGCCCAGGAAGTAGAGGCTGCAGTGAGCCATGATCACACCACTGAACTCCAGCCTGGGCAACAGGGCGAGACCCAGTCTCAGATAAATAAATAAATAAAAAGGAATAAAGATGTACGTGCACACTGCATTTCCCTTAAGTATAAATTTTCATGGGATGCTATTATTATCTAAATATTTACCGAGGTATAATTTAAGGCAAAACTTTAGTCATTTGACCTGAACTGGATAAGTCTGATCTAAGTAATCTCAGGTCAAAACTGAAAACATTTAATGGCTTAACATCTGCTTAGATGGAGTCATTCCACCCAGGCTGATGTTTTTTCTTGTCTAAATCTGCCTTTAAAGGACATATAAGCTGTTAATAGAAAAGCCTTCATAGAAACATGTGAACGTCCCTTCTAATCAATATTCTTTAAGTTTTGATTTAACCTTTGAGTAAAGCAGCAGCTAGATAGTGGATGAAGGAAGAGCTGAGAAGGAGAGTCAAATGATCATGCTCTAGCCAGCTATTACCTGCTGGTGCTCAGGTATGCCTGGTTCTTAACATGGCTCTGCTGGAAGTACTAGGGCAAAGTAGGAGAAAAGAGTTTAACTGATTTATGCGAATGAGCCATTTATGGGAATGTGACTTACTCCTCCAGAGGTGCTTCCCTAATTTTACTGCAACTATAATGCTCTTACTTGAAGGTTTCCAAATTCTGTCGCTCAAGTTCTTTGCTTTCCAATTGCTCTTGAATGTGATCTAGCTTTGTTTGCAGATGATTATTTGTCTGGAGAGCTTGTTCCAGACTCATAGCAAGTTTCCTGTTGTCTTCTCTAGCTACACCTAGAGCTTTTTGTAGAGATTCAATCTGAAAGAGAGAAGCATGTTTTCAATTCCACTGTAATGGACAGATGCAAGAAGTCCATAACACTGTGTAATCACTCCTCACATTCTATCATCAAGTACCATTGAAACAATAATTAGTTGGAACCAGAAGCAAAGATTCCAGCTGCCTGGAAAATATATATATATATATGCACACACATATATGAATGAGAACTCATTAGAGACATTGCTCAGGAAACACTTAGAAGGCAATGGGAAGGCCATGCTCCATTGGTCACCAGAGAACTTTGGAAAACAGACCCAGCTTAATTTATCCTAATTTTTTAAATTTTAAACTAAATTACCCTTCCTGATCCTATGACCTTCTGGTCTCACTCCCTTGAAGAAAAAAACCTGTCCACTGTTTCTTATAGATTCTTACAGAAAAAAAACCTTATTTATGAAATATTCATGTGTATTTTATATATGTGCATATAGATATGTATGCATGTAAGTAAATATATACCTGTGAGCACATGTGTGTGTAGGTGACTCCTTATTAATAGTGGGATCACTCCAGGTGTTTCTGACAGACTATATTTTCTAAGCCTATTAACTTCTGACATTTTTTGTGCATTAATAAATGAATAAAAATGTAGACCATATAAGACCATATAAGACAAAGAGTTTAGTCATTATTGTGGTACTGGTTTGCCAATAAGTGACTCATTGTAAGACAGGTCAATTTCCCATTTGTAGATATGTCACTGTCCAAAACTCAGACTTGATTGAAAAAAACATTTACCTGATAGTTTCACTTCATTTTCCCAAAAACAGTAATATCCCAATAAAACTAAAAATATCAATGTTATCATTTTTTAAAGCCTGGCTCCAACCTCACTGTTGTGCTGGTCCTCCATGACAAGCATCCTGGCCTGCCACTGGTCCACTTCAGCTTCCAGCTTCTGCACCCTCTGTTGATTGAGATCCCTAAAAATAAAAAGCACAAAAAGAGTGACTACAGAAAAGAATCGTGTAGGAATGATACCATTTGGGAGTTACAGAACACTTTTCTTCTAAGAAGCTCAAATAGCATCATACTTATATATCACTAGTAAATATCACTAGTACAAAATATATTGCCTTTACAAAGATTGACTTGCTGTTGAGATTTTTGCATCTACATATAACAGCCACTTATAAATTTATTGTGAATAGTATTTTTAATACCATTCCCTTGACCTTTTAAAAATGCAAAGGCAATATACTTTCATACTATGTAAAAAAGATAAACAATATGTAATGTAAAAAAAGAGAAAAGAAAACTCACTTGTTCTCTCATAACATAGAGGCAATATGCCCTATTAAACTCAGACCATTTATTCTTTAACCTAAAAGGAAATTTTATTTAATTTTTGAAACATTCTATAAAGGAATTTACTTATAAAACATGGCTAGAAGTGGTTCTCAGAATGATTCACCTAAAATAATTATTAATCTTGAAACAGGATAGTAATAAATGGATAATTAATTCAAACTAAAGTATGTACTTAGTTTCAATTATCTTGACAGTTACTATTCTGTAGAAGCAAGGAAAGAATTAGGTTTACATGGTGCAGAAAGCAAGGGTAAAACAACAGTACAGCTAGTGAATTTCTAGGATATATAGTCTAGAAATTCCTTCACATCACTACACAATAGGGGCATTTTGAATTTTTGGAAATAATATTTATTTCTAATTCTAAATTTTCTCTAACTTAGGAATTCTTTCAACATATCATTTTGCAATTTTTTTTTTTGTAAAGGAAGCTACATAAAGTGACTTCATTTATTGACTTGACACTGCTCCTTAGTACAATCCAGCAATACCAATGACAGGGAAAAAAAACCACAGGTACCTTTCTTTCTTGAGGCCTGCAATCTCTGAATCCCTCCGCCCAAGCTCTATTTGTACTTTCTCCAGAGCACCTTGCATCTTACTGTGAGAAGCCAGCACATTCTCCAACATGATTGTGACTTTGCAGTTGTCTTCTTTAGCTTCTGCCAATTGTCGCTGAAAGTTTCCCACCTAACAGAAAATGAAACAACACAAAGACATTTGATCCTTTCTGGTTACTCTTCTGCTTGTGGATCTCATTACTCCCAGGAAAGAGCATGGAAAGCAGACAAGCAGACACAGTAGGATGCTAGTGGGAATAATTAAAGTATATTTTATTTTTAGGTGGTTTCTTAAGTTATTGTTGAGAAAAAGAAAAGCTGATCCCCAGAAAAGTTGGTGAACTCTGCAGCTTCCCAACTGTGGTCATGTTACAGCATACACATTAACCAGAGAGGCCTGACTCAGCACAACCTGCGTCCAGAGGTGGCGCCAGGCTGGCCTCTCAGCTGTCTTCTGACGGGGTCAGATGAGAATAATACATCTGAAACGCATTAGAATTATCTGAGAAAAAAAGACTGTAAGAGAAAGTGGAAGCTGCTGAAGAATGAGGTAACTCACAGCCCTCCTCAGAGAGACAAAATCCAGCACTTGCTGACAAAGAGAAGTTTGGGATGTGACCTCTATTCCCACTAAGCATACACACACTGTTAAGGAGAAAGCATCATAGAAATCTTACACCACATTAATAAAACATAACTATAAAGGTTATTATTACCAAGATCAGATGTGTTTCAAAAGAAAAAATTAGAACTTTCTCTTTTGAGTATTTAAGACAGAAAGTTAAAAAAAAAACATTGGGAGTTAGATACATATAATGTATTTTTAAGGGAAAAATTTTAAACTATTCTAAAATTATCTTTTCTCCAGAAAAAGAAATCCTCCCCTGATCAATCCTTATTCTAATGGAAGCAAGAAAGCGAAACATATGGCTCATGAAAGATTTCATAAGTGCTTCTTCTCAGTGACAGACGGTCAGAAGGGACTGATTCCTTGCCTTCTTGTTTTCCCTGTCCTCCACAGCCTCGAGGTCTTCTTTCAACTTCTGACTCTCTTTCAGGGCCGCATTACGACACTTCACTGTTCGGGACAGCTCCTCTTTACTTCTTTCAAGAATAGATTTCACCTAAGTAGGAAAAAAGAAACAATAAATAACATTACAAATCAGTGATTAGAATAAGACATAGAAATTTAGAAACCAAATTTTAAATGTTTAAATATATTTATTCACTACTATAAATAGAACCCATCTTTATTAGCTGCTTATTCCTTTAAAGGAAACTACAACAAAAATATCTGTGTGAATAAACATAGACAAATCCAATACATTAATCTCCATGAAAACACAAGAATAGGGAGAATAAGACTATCTATGAAGCTGAGATGTAAAATGGGAGAGAAATTATTATGAGACTAGCTTCCTTTTGAAAATATTAAAAAAAGCACAAATTGATATTATAAAAGCAAAGATGTATAAATACTAAATAGTGTATTTAGAAAGAAATACAAGAAAATTCAAGAAAACAGTGTTACAGCAGAATGAATCCTAATTAGAAGTATAGTATTAGAACCTCATATCCTTGAAACAGTTTTGGTAGAGCCACACCATCAGTTCAGATAATCATACTATTTTAAATATTACCCCTTTTAAACTTTTTACTTCATAATTTTAGGCTCACAGGATGTTGCAAAAATAGTGCAGAGTCCGATGTACCCTTCATCCTGCTTTTTTTTTTTTGAGACTGAATTTCGCTCTGTCATCTAGGCTGGAGTGCAATGGCATGATCTGGGCTCACTGCAACCTCCACCTTCCGGGATCAAGCGATTCTCCTGACTCAGCCTCCCCAAGTAGCTGGAATTACAGGTGTGCACTATCATACCAAGCTAAATTTTGTAGTTAGTAGAGAAGGGGTTTCACCATGTTTGTCAGGCTGGTCTCGAACTCCTAACCTCAGGTGATCTGCTCACCTCGGCCTCCCAAAGTGATGGGGTTACAGGCGCGAGAAACCACGCCCCGCCCCTTTATCCTGCTTCTTTTGCTGACATCTCATATCTCTGTAGTTCAACATCAAAACCAGGAAATTGACATGCATACATTATTGTTAACTTGACTAACTAGATCACATAATTTATTCAATTTTTGCCATTTTTTTCAACCTTCATTCATCTATGTGTGGATGCATGTGTATATGTGCATGCACACAGTTCCATGCAATTTTATCCTATTTACATATTCACATGACTGCCACTGCCACAGTCAAGACACAAAATTTCCATCACCAGAAAAGAATTCCCTTGTGCTATCTCTGTATTCACTCTTCCCTCCAAAAACTCATCCTGTCCTCTGGCAACCACTAATTTGTTCTTTTCTTTCCCATACTACACTGATGTACAGTAATTTGTTCTCTATTTCTACAGTTCTGTCAAGAATGTTACTTTAGGCTGGGCGTGGTGGCTCACCCCTGTAATCCCAGCACTTTGGGAGGCCAAGGCAGGTGGATCATGAGGTCAGGAGATGGAGACCATCCTAGCCAACGTGGTGAAACCCTGTCTCTACTAAAAATACAAAAAAATAAAATAAAAATAAAAATAAAAAATAAATTAGCTGGGCGTGGTGGCGGGCGCCTGTAATTCCAGCCACTTGGGAGGCTGAGGCACGAGAATCGCTTGAACCCAGGAGGCAGAGGTTGCAGTGAGCCAAGCCAAGATGGCGCCACTGTACTCCAGCCTGGCGACACAGCGAGACTCTCTGTCTCAAAAAAAAAAAAAAAAAAAAAAAAAAGAATGTTATTTTAAACATTTAATACATTTTTGAATAGGTAATATATGATTTTTCTTTTTTAACAGCTTTTCTGAGGTATAACTGATATACAATAAGCTACACATACTTAAAGTGTACATTTTGATAAGTTTTCACATACGTATAAGACTTTGAAACAATAATTAAGATATTGAACATTTCCATCATCTCCAAAAGTTTCCTTAAGCTCCTTTGTAATCTTCCCCTTCTGTCTCTCTCTATTCCCACACTTCTGGTGATTCTCACAGGTAACCACTGATCTGTTTTCTGTTACAATATATGAGTTTGTATTTTCTAGAATTTTATATGGAATTGTATTGTATGCACTCTTTTTTGAATAACTTCTTTCACTCAGTGTAATTATTTTGAGAGTTATTCAATCTGCTGCATGTATCAATAGTTCTTTCTGTTGCTTAGTATTCTATTGTAGGGACATCACAATTTAGTTATCCATTCACCTGGTGGACACTTAAGTTGTTTCCAGTTTTAAGTTATTACAAATACAGCTGATGTGAACACCTGTGTACAAGTCTGTGTGGAGACATACTTTCATTTGTCTTTGGTGAATACTTAGTAGTGCACTGACTGGGTCATATGGTGGTAGTATGTTTCGCTTTTAAAGAAATTCCCAAACTATTTTCTAAAGTGGCTGTACCCATAATAGGTGTGTGGTAGTATCTCACTGTGATTTTATTTGCATTTCCCTAATGACTGATGCTTAACCCCTTTTCAAGCACTTATTTACCAGCCACATAACTTTGCTGAAGAAACTGTTTAAATTTTTGCCTATTCTTTTTCTTAGGTTTTCTTCTTAGTATTTAAATCTTAAAAATTATTTGTAGTACCTTCTGGAAACAAGGCCTTAATCAGATATGTGATTTGCAAATAATTCCTCCCAGTCTGTAGCTTGTCTCTTCATTCCCTTAATGTTTCTGAAGAGCATAAGTTGTCAATTTTGATAAACTCCAATTTATCATTTTTGTCCCTTTATGGATCATGCTTTTGATATCAAATCTAAGAAATCTTTGTGTAATCCAAGATCATAAAGATTTCTTCCTATGTTTTCTTCTAAAAGTTTTACAGTTTCAGGGTTTACATTTAGATCTATGATCCATTTTAATTTTTATACATTTTGTGAGGTATGGAGCAAAGATATTTTGTTTTTGCATATGGATATCCAATTATCCCGGCACCGTTTGTTGAAAAGACTGTCCTTTCTCTGCTTTCAGTTTTGTTGAAAAGAAAACGTTCATCAAACTATTTTGGATGGGTAGTACATTCACATTATTTTTAAAGTACAAAAAGATTAAGTGAAAAACATCCCAGCTGCCCAGTCTCCTTCCTCAAAAATAATGTTGCCAGTTTATTATGGGTCATTTTAGACAGTCTATGCTTATACAAGTGAATACATACGTATATATTCTTTATCTCCCCACCCTTTTTACATCCAAATAGTAAAATATTACATATACTCTTCTGAACTTTTACTGTTTAAACCTAATAATATATATATATCTTGAAGCAGTATTGCAAAACTATGGATACAAACTATTATTTAGCCAGTCTCTTATTGATAAGATTTTGGTTGCTTCCTCTGTTGCTATTAGCCAGCAATACTTCAGTAAGTGACCTTGTATACATGTCATGTGTACAAGCCAGTATATCAGTAGGAAAAAGTCCTAGAAGGACAATTGTAGGGTCAAAGTTGTGATAAATATTGCTAAATTGCCCTCCATAGGAAGGCATAGGAACTCCATAGGAAGTTGTACTGTTTCATAATCCCAACGGTAACAAAGGAGGATGTCTTTTCCCCACATCTACCTCAACGTTATAAAACATCCTTAAACTTGAACCTGTAACATTTAAAATATTTAACTTTTTCTACAGAAAAGGATCCCAGAAAAGTGCAAAAGACGGCAACTTACAGGTCCTGATAATCTACTGAATTTTGTTCTAGAAAAGTATACAAGAATATCATTTTAAAAATTCTACCAGTTTTTTAAGTGTATGTATATATCAGTATGTATATACACACATATAAATGCAAAAATGCCACTAGATGTTTACAGAAGACATCTAAATAGTAGTGAGGCAGGAGAATAGGGTCTGGAGGCAGGGAACCTAAGGCCAATTCATGCTGATTTCCTAAAGCTGGATCAAGGAAAAACACCAAGGTCTGGGGACAGGAAAAGTGAGGCCAATTTTTGCTGACTTCCCAAAGCTGGATCAAAAGGAAAACACCTGGGTCTTGCGACCGGGAAGCTAAGTCCAATTAACACCAACTTACAAAAGCTACACCAAAAGGAAAAACCCCATCTCCCCAGCAAGTAGCAAAGGATCAAAGGCTACTACTCTCCCTACACTCCTCCCGCTTCCACCATGTCTCAGATGGAAAGGGAGAGTGTCTTGGATTGGCCCGGAGCCAAGCATGGGCCATCCCTTCATCAGCATAGGGCATCAATTCACCTGAGCCTTTAATTAGCCACAGGCCAAATCCTTCATCCAGATAAGAGGTAGCCATAGGGACCTCAAAAGGAGTACTTAAAACCCAGAAAACTCCACACCCTATGGAGTTCTTTCATCGTTTTAATAAATCCCTGCTTTCGCTGCTTCCTTCATTACTTTGCGCGATTTTTTCAATTCTTTGTTCAAAACACCAAGGACCTGGACAACTAACACTCACAGCCCTCCTTCCGGTAATAGTAGCCCACTCTAGAAGATAAGCTATAGTATTTTCTATTTCTAAATATCAGATAAAGATGAATGCTCTAATAAGTTTTCTCAAGAAAATATTTTCCAATGTTAAATTTCTTGGGGTTTCTTGAATTAATTTTCTATTTGAAAATGAGGCTTTATCCAAGCATTTTAGCTCAAATGTTAAGATTAGGTAGAAATTTTGAATTTTTTAAAAAATCAAAATTATATAAAAAACTCAGTAGTTACTGTTACGCCAAATGTTCTATGTCTAAAACTAATTATGTGATGGCTAGGATAATGGTTTCAATCTATATTAGTCTTTTTTCTATTTGTGAAGAACCTTATTTCCTTGTTAGTCATATCTTCAAGCATTATATTTCTGGATTAATATTTCATTCTTGTATAAATTTAAAACTTCCTTAAGATTTAATTTGTGGTCTTCACTTACCGAGTCCTGTTTAAGAAAATTTGGTGATTCATCATTTATTAAAGGTCTTGAGGCTAGAATCTCTATTTTGCCTTCCAGTCTTCCCTCCATGGTTTTAATAGCATTCAAAAGAGTCTTTAGAGAGATCCTAGAGTCTCCAATATCCTGAGATGTTTTCATAGAAGGCAGGTTAGGTGCAAAGCTCACACGGCGTGTAGAGTTTGGAATAACACTAGGCAAACCAACTGATGACGTTCTTTCCTTTATACTGTTTACATGGGACCTAGAGATTTCGGGGGATTTTGAAGATGCAGTCCTCTCTGGGGATTTCCTTTTTCTTAGAGGCATCGTCAATTATTAATAAAAACAATAAAATCAGCTAAACCTAGAGTTATTTTTCAAGGAATAGCCCCTTTACTAGGAGAAACAACACAGTGTTCTAGAAGGAGCCGTAATGGAAAATATATTGAAAATGTGTTTCTCTGCTTTCAGAGTGAAGAGATCACACTGTAAAATATGACCCAGCAAAGAAACAGACCTTATGCCAACTTCCCTGTCAGAGAGCGCATCTAATGAGGCCTCCTTTAACAACTCTGTGACCTCATCACTCATCAGCAGAGTCAAGTGGTTAGAACTCTATGAGTATTCCATTTGAAAACATATTTTAGTTCCTTGGTTACCAGGGGTATAGATACACAAATATCATAGACACAGAAGTTACATATGCTTTTATTAAGAGTTAATGATTTAAAAAATAACCTAATGATATGAGTGCTAAATTTGTAAATAATTGAAATGAGTCACTTTCTTCTGGTAACACCTTCCTGGGGTATGTTCTTCACTAAATGTTTTTGTTATCTTGCTTAACTTTTTCTATTCATTCGTTAAAATATTATGTGAACTATGAAAGGTTTTTAGCTTCAAGAGCCACCATGCTGACAAGTAAGCACTTTCATTACCAATACTTCTTTCAGGTGAGCATCTGCCTGCTGCAGGTGTACCCTCTTGGCACTGAGTTCTGAGTTTGCCTTTAATTCAAAAAACAAAGATACTTGTTCCTCACAACTGCCAAAATTTTAAAAAGCACTGCCTTTATGAAAGCATTTCTCACTGCTTCTACTCATAATAATGCTCCCTATGAATGTTCAGTAATACAATCTATTTTTCTGAAAAGCATAACTTTCTATTCTCTAATAAAGTTTATGGAGTACATTTCCTAACTATAATAAGCAAGTTGAATGTCTCAATCCTGCTTCAGGTATCTTTACAATTTCTGAGGCTTTAGCAGAACCTTGTATGTACTAGGTGCTTGAAAAAAAGTTTGTTAAACTGAGTCAAGTGACAGCATATTTATCTTTCTGGGATTGTGTGGTAAAGTGGGGAAAAAGACATCAAACAATTTCTTAAAAACGAAATATAGCAGCAATCCGCTTTTGTAGATATTAATCACACCTGAGCATATTTAGTCTGTAAATACTTATTCATCTTGCGTAGATGATCATTCTGTAAGCTGGTGTCAGTAAAAGACTGTACTTGTTCTTCTAGCTGTTTAACTTTTATCTAGAGGAAAAACAAAAATACAAAAAAAATTTTAAAAAATAAAACATTTAAACATATATATTTACACATATTTATATACTCCAGAAGGGGGAAAAAGGGTCATGAGTTGTAAAAAAAAAAAAAAAAAAATTACAGAGAATCTTTAAAACTTGCAAAAAGCAATCCTAAGTTTAATCATGCAAAAAATGATATACACTCTGTAGCCATTTAAATGTACTGAGATAACTCATTTGGTTTCTAGTGCTTATAGGCCTCCAAATGGACATGACTCATGAATATAACAGTGAGATTTTGTGGCTAATGTAATTCAAAAATTTGTGGCTAATATATTTGAATTGTGGTACCTGGCATTCAAAACCCTTTTGAATGTGTATAATTAGAACTGTCAATGTGCAAGAAGCAGACATATCAGACCAGAAGAATGGAATGGGGTGGAGAACAGGCAGAGTCTTGTGTTTCACTGACACAATATTATAAAAGTTGAATAAATGGAATTCTTATATGTTGAATTATATTTTAAAACTAATTCATAAAGATGATACTCACAAGTCTCTCTTCAAAGAAAATTATCATTTTGGAGGACAAAATCATTTAATATATACTTATAAATCTCCAAATTATACGTTTTTCCATATTTGCTTCCTCTTATCCCCAAACCATTCACACACAACAATTAACGTTACCGAACCTACCCCTAAATCAGGAAAATTTTCATCCAAAATTTTATTTAAATCAACAGTTCCATCTCTCAATATCTTGTTTCCTATCTGTAGAGTGCAAACATCTCTTTCACTAGCTACTGGACATTTTCAGCAACTGTTAACATTTGAATGGGGTGTTAGAAATCAGGATGGTTAATTAGCCTTGTGGGTGACAGTTACTGGAAGAGGGTACTGGGTGTTAGGGATGTTCTGTTTCTTGATCTGAGTGCTGATCACATAGCTATATTTACTTTATAAAAAGTTCATCAGGCTGTGCCCTGTGTACTTTTCAGTATATATGCTATAGTTCAACAAGAAATTAACTGTAAAAAACAAGGTAAACCAAGCACTTACCTAACTTCTAAATTAAGGTCACAAATGCAGTTGCTTATAGGGGCCAGGCAGCTAACACAATGTTGAAATCCTAGTGGTTAAGTGATGGGGCCAATGGTAGATTAGAGTGAGGCCAAATAACTCAAACTGACATATGTTTAAAAACAACTTTAAAAATGCTGGAAATCTTTCAGACATATATGCCATCATCCCATCTATCCACCACTGAACTTAAAAAAAAAAACTACCGTTAAAATTGAAAGCTTCTGTGTAGCCTATCCCAACCAAATCTCCTTCTATCCTACAGTTAACTATTTTGCTGAATCTATCATTCCTATTCTTTAAAAAATAACTTTATATGTATCCCTAAACAGTATATAGTATTGTTTTATGAGATTCATCCATGTTAACACATGTAACTCTAATGTACCTATTTAATATGCCCTCTTAAATATACTGATTTTAGGCTATTCCATTCCAAGATGACCAAATAGGAACAGCTCTGGTCTGGAGCTCCCAGCGTGCCCGACACAGAAGACGGGTGATTTCTGCATTTTCACAGAGGTACCTGGTTCATCTCATTGGGACTGGTTGGACAGTGGGTGCAGCCCACAGAGGGTGAGCCAAAGCAGGGCAGGGCATCGCCTCACCCGGGAAGCGCAAGGGGGGTCAGGGGATTTCCCTTTCCTAGCCAAGGGAAGCCGTAACAGATGGTACCTGGAAAAACAGGACACTCCTGCCCAAATACTGTGCTTTTCCAACAGTCTTAGCAAACAGCACACCAGGAGATTATATCCTGCGCCTGGCTTGGCGGGTCCTATGCCCACGGAGCCTTGCTCACTGCTAACGCAGAAGTCTGAGGCAGCAGCCTGGCATGGGGAGGGGCGTCCGCCATTGCTGAGGCTTGAGTAGGTAAACAAAGCAGTCAGGGAAGCTCGAACTGGGCAGAGCCCACCACAGCTCAGCAAGACCTCCTGCTTCTGTAGACTCCACCTCTGGGGGCAGGGCATAGCTGAACAAAAGGCAGCAGAAACTTCTGCAGACTTAAACGTCCCTGTCTGACAGCTCTGAAGAGAGCAGTGGTTCTCGCAGCACAGTGTTTGAGCTCGGAGAACAGACAGACTGCCTCCTCAAGTGGGTCCCTGACCCCCATGTAGTCTAACTGGGAGACACCTCCCAGTAGGGGCCAACTGACACCTCATACAGCCGGGTGCCCCACCAGGACAAAACTTCCAGAGGAAGGATCAGGCAGCCATATTTGCTGTTCTGCAGCCTCCGGTGGTGATACCCAGGCAAACAGGGTCTGGAGTGGACCTCCAACAAACTCCAACAGACCTGCAGCTGAGGGACCTGACTGTTAGAAGGAAAACTAACAAACAAAAAGGAATAGCATCAACATCAACAAAAAGGGCATCCACATGAAAACTCCATCTGTAGGTCACCAATGTCAAAGACCAAAGGTAGATAAAAGCACAAAGATGGGGAGAAACCAGAGCAGAAAAGCTGAAAATTCTAAAAACCAGAGTGCCTCTTCTCCCCCAAAGGATCACAGCTCCTCACCAGCAACGGAACAAAGCTGGACAGAGAATGACTTTGACTACCTGACAGAAGTAGACTTCAGAAGGTCGGTAATAACAAATTTCTCCGAGCCAAAGGAGGATGTTCGAACCCATTGCAAGGAAGCTAAAAACCTTGAAAAAACATTAGACGAATGGCTAACTAGAAAAAACAGTGTAGAGAAGACCATAAATGACCTGATGGAGCTGAAAACCATGGCACGAGAACTACGTGATGCATACACAAGCTTCAATAGCCAATTCGATCAAGTGGAAGAAAGGGTATCAGTGATTGAAGATCAAATCAGTGAAATAAAGCGAGAAGAGAAGTTTAGAGAAAAAAGAGTAAAAAGAAATCAACAAAGCCTCCAAGAAATATGGGACTATGTAAAATGACCAAATCTACGTTTGATTGGTGTACCTGAAAGTGACAGGGAGCATGGAACCAAGATGGAAAACACTCTTCAGGATATTATCCAGGAGAACTTCCCCAACCTAGCAAGACAGGACAACATTCAAATTCAGGATATACAGAGAACACCGCAAAGATACTCCTCAAGAAGAGCAATCCCAAGACACATAATTGTCAGATTCACTAAGGTTGAAATGAAGGAAAAAATGTTAACGGCAGCCAGAGAGAAAGGTCGGGTTACCCACAAAGGAAAGCCCATCAGACTAAGAGCAGATCTCTCAGAGAAACTCTACAAGCCAGAGAGTGGGGGCCAATATTCAACATTCTTAAAGAAAAGAATTTTCAACCCAGAATTTAATATCCAGCTAAATTAAGCTTCATAAGTGAAGGAGAAATAAAAACCTTTACAGACAAGCAAATGCTGAGATATTTTGTCACCACCAGGTCTGCCTTACAAGAGCTCCTGAAGGAAGCACTAAACATGGAAAGGAACAACCGGTACCAGCCACTGCAAAAACATGCCAAATTGCAAAGATCACTGATGCTATGAAGAAACTGCATCAACTAATGGGCAAAATAACCAGCTAACATCATGATGACAGGATCAAATTCACACATAAAAATATTAACCTTAAATGTAAATGGACTAAATGCCCCAATTAAAAGACACAGACTAGCAAATTGGATAAAGAGTCAAGACCCATCACTGTGCTGTATTCAGGAGACCCATCTCACGTTTAGAGACACAAATAGACTCAAAATAAAGGGATGGAGGAAGATCTACCAAGCAAATGGAAACCAAGAAAAAGCAGGGGTTGCAATCCTAGTCTCTGATAAAACAGACTTTAAGCCAACAAAGATCAAAAGAGACAAAGAAGGCCATTACATAACGGTAAAGGGATCAATTCAACAAGAAGAGGTAACTATCCTAAATATATATACACCCAATACAAGAGCACCCAGATTCATAAAGGAAGTTCTTAGAGACCTTTAAAGAGACTTAGACTCCCACACAATAATAGTGGGAGACTTTAACACCCTACTGTCAATGTTCGACAGATCAATGAGACAGAAGGTTAACAAGGATATCCAGGACTTGAACTCAGCTTTGCACCACGCAGACCTAATAGACATCTACAGAACTCTCCACCCCAAATCAACAGAATATACATTCTTCTCAGCACCACATCACACTTATTCCAAAATTGACCATATAGTTGGAAGTAAAGCACTCCTCAGCAAATGTAAAAGAACAGAAATCACAACAAACTGTCTCTCAGATGACAGTACAATCAAATTAGCATTAAGAAACTCACTCAAAACCGCACAACTACATGGAAACTGAACAACCTGGTGCTCCTGAATGACTACTGGGTAAATAACAAAATTAAGGCAGAAATAAAGATGTTCTTTGAAACCAATGAGAGCAAAGACACAATGTACCAGAATCTCTGGGACACATTTAAAGCAGTGTGTAGAGGGAAATTTACAGCACTAAATACCCACAAGAGAAAGCAGGAAAGATCTAAAATCAACACCCTAACATCACAATTAAAAGAACTAGAGAAGCAAGAGCAAACAAATTCAAAAGCTAGCAGCAGGCAAGAAATAACTAAGATCAGAGCAGAACTGAAGGAGACAGAGACACAAAAAACCCTTCAAAAAAATCAAGGAATCCAGGAGACGGTTTTTTGAAAAGATCAGCAAAATTGATAGACTGCTAGCAAGACTAATAAAGAAAAAAATAGAGAAGAATCAAATAGACACAATAAAAAAATGATAAAGGGGATATCACTACCTATCCCACAGAAATACAAACTACCATCAGAGAATACTATAAACACCTCTACACAAATAAACCAGAAAATCTAGAAGAAATGGATAAATTCCTGGACACATACACTCTCCCAAGACTAAACCAGGAAGAAATTGAACTTCTAAATAGACCAATAGCAGTCTCTGAAATTGAGGCAATAATAGCCTACCAACCAAAAAATGTCCAGGACCAGACGGATTCACAGGCAAATTCTACTAGAGGTACAAAGAGGAGCTGATACCATTCCTTCTGAAACTATCCCAATCAATAGAAAAAGAGGGAATCCTCCCTAACACATTTTATGAGGCCAGCATCATCCTGATACCAAAGCCTGGCAGAGACACAACAAAAAAAGAGAATTTTAGACCAATATCCCTGATGAACATTGATGTGAAAATCCTCAATAAAATACTGGCAAAACAAATCCAGCAGCACATCAAAAAGCTTATCCACCACAATCAAGTCAGCTTCATCTCTGGGATGCAAGACTGGTTCAACATACACAAACCAATAAACATAATCCATCACATAAACAGAACCAATGAAAAAACCACGATTATCTCAATAGATGCAGAAAAGGCCTTTGACAAAATTCAACAACTCTTCCTGCTAAAAACTCTCAATAAGCTAGGTATTGATGGAACATTGTCTCAAAATAATAAGAGCTATTTATGAAAAACTGACAGCCAATATCATACTGAATGGGCAAAAACTGAAAGCATTTCCTTTGAAAACTGGCACAAGACAGGGATGCCCTCTCTCACCACTCCTATTCAACATAGTATTGTAAGTTCTAGCCAGGGCAATCAGGCAAGAGAAAGAAATAAAGGGTATTCAATTAGGAAAAGAGGAAGTCAAATTGTCCCTGTTTGCAGATGACATGACTGTATATTTAGAAAACCCCATTGTCTCAGCCCAAAATCTCCTTAAGCTGATAAGCTACTTCAGAAAAGTCTCAGGATACAAAATCAATGTGCAAAAATCACAAGCATTCCTATACACCAATAACAAACAGCCAAATCATGAGTGAACTCCCATTCACAATTGCTTCAAAGAGAATAAAATACCTAGGAATCCAACTTACAAGGGATGTGGAGGACCTCTTCAAGGAGAACTACAAACCACTGCTCAACAAAATAAAAGAGGACACAAACAAATGGAAGAATATTTGTTCTTCCATAATGCCGTATGGCCATACTGCCCAAGGTAATTTATAGATTCAAGGCCATCCCCATCAAGCTACCAATGACTTTCTTCACTACTTTAAAGTTCATATGGAACCAAAAAGGAGCCCGCATTGCCAAGGCAGTCTTAAGCCAAAAGAACAAAGCTGGAGGCATCATGCTACCTGACTTCCAACTATACTATAAGGCTGCAGTAACCAAAACAGCATGGTACTGGCACCAAAACAGATATATAGACCAATGGAACAGAACAGAGCCCTCAGAAATAACACCACACATCTACAACCATCTGATCTTTGACAAATCTGACAAAAACAAGAAATGGGGAAAGGATTTCCTATTTAATAAATGGTGCTGGGAAAACTGGCTAGCCATATGTAGAAAGCTGAAACTGGATCCCTTCCTTACACCTTATACAAAAATTAATTCAAGATGGATTAAAGACTTAAATGTTAGACCTAAAACCATAAAAACCCTAGAAGAAAACCTAAGCAATACCATTCAGGACATAGGCCTCGGCAAAGACTTCATGACTAAAACACCAAAAGCAATGGCAACAAAAGCCAAAATTGACAAATGGGATCTAATTAAACTAAAGAGCTTCTGCATAGCAAAATAAACTAACTACCATGAGAGTGAACAGGCAACCTACAGAATGGGAGAAAATTTTTGCAATCTACCCATCTGACAAAGAGCTAATATCCTGAATCTACAAAGAACTTAAACAAATTTACAAGAAAACAACCCCATCAAAAAGTTGGCGAAGGATATGAACAGACAGTTTTCAAAAGAAGGCATTTATGCAGCCAACAGACACATGAAAAAATGCTCATCATCACTGGCCATCAGAGAAATGCAAATCAAAACCACAATGAGATACCATCTCACACCAGTTAGAAGGGGGATCACTAAAAAGTCAGGAAACAGCAGATGCTGGAGAGGATGTGGAGAAACAGAAATGCTTTTACACTGTTGGTGGAAGTGTAAACTAGTTCAACCATTGTGGAAGACAGTGTGGTGATTCCTCAAGGATCTAGAACTAGAAAATACCATTTGACCCAGCCATCCCATTACTGGGTATATACCCAAAGGATTATAAATCATGCTACTATAAAGACACATGCACATGTATGTTTATTGCGGCACTATTCACAATAGCAAAGACTTGGAACCAACCCAAAATGTTCATAGATGATAGACTGGATTAAGAAAATGTGGCACATATACACCATTCAATACTATGCAGCCATAAAAAAATGATGAGTTCATGTCCTTTGCAGGGACATGGATGCAGCTGGAAACCATCATTATCAGCAAACTATCTCAAGGACAGAAAAACAAACACCCCATGTTCTCACTCATAGGTGGGAATTGAACAACATCAACACCTGGACACAGGGCAGGGAACATCACACCCCGGGGCCTGTCGTGGGGTGGGGAGCAGCGGAAGGGATAGCATTAGGAGATATACCTAATGTAAATGATGAGTTAATGGGTGCAGCAAACCAACATGGCACATGTATATCTATGTAACAAACCTGCATGTTGTGCACATGTACCCTAGAACTTAAAGTATAATTAAAAAAATACTGATTTTAAAACTGGCATAACTACTTTTAGTAAGGGGAAATATAACAAAATCTAGTAAAACTTAGGATATGCACATCCTAAAACCCAGTAATTCTACTCCTAAGAATTTTATATTTAGCTGAGAGAATCTTCTGTATATAAGGAGACAGGTACAAAAATTCATCATATCATCATTGTTATTATTTGCAAGCAATTAAGAACTAGCCGATTATCCATCAACAGAGGAATAAATACATTGTGGCATATTTACATAATGGAATACTGTACAGCACTGAAAAGGAAGTTCAAACCATGTTTGAACATGAGGCAGCAGTTTCCAATAAAGTTTACATTAACACACAAAATCCAGTATTTATATCATTCATTAACAAGTTGATTCTGAAAATGTAGTCTTTTACCAAATACAATTCATATGTATATTTTTAATCCATTCTAATCCAGTTGAGAACACACAGCAGACTACTGTTTTGACTATGTTTAGTATACAGCTCTTCCTTTAAATTGTCTTGTAAGAGTTATGTGCTCCAAGAGCACTTTCCCTAGAGCTGATGAAGTCAGTGCTTTTGGAATGTGGCAGCCCAAGACCTGACATAAAAGCACCAATGAATCAATAGTTCACAATAGTTCAAAAAGTGTTTCTTCAAAGACTATCAAAAATCTTAAACTCTTATTATAGGAATATGAACAGCAAACAGGCATGTATTTCCTTTATGATTACACAGAATCTGGATAATTTCTAAGATTGCATAGTTGAGGTTTAAAAGGTCAGACAGAACATCAGACCCATCCATAAATTATAAAATATATTTCATTCCCAGTCAAAATTTGGCTTTAAGTCTGTCATGAGAGCCTGGGATTTGTCTTATATATTTCATAATATATTTCATTTTTCTTGGAAAAACTAAAAAAAGGTTAAAGTCATGGGTCATAGCCTCTTATAAGATCATTCATTTCAGAAAGGGGAAAGTTATTTTATGCCTGTAAAGATGTATATACCCAGCCTGTAATGTAGCCTATTTTTCCCAATGAGAAGTAGATAAGAGAGGTGTGCTTATCCTCATCATTTTATAGATGATTAAGATGAAACTCAAGAAAATTAAGATCTTTCCACGGTCACATAAATGTAGATAATATTTAAATGCATCACTACCTCTGCAAAATATTAATATTAATAGGTGTTCTAGTAATTCTTTTTATTGTAGTTCTTTTTATTGTTCTAGTAATGTATTGTTCCGCAAGCATGGCTTATCGACTACCTTTTAGATGGCCTGCTATTTCTGGGCCCTATCCTGTCTGCTAACCCTATGGTAAACCCTTTGAGTAGATGAGGATGAGGTTAATGCTGATGTGTTCGGCAAGCTTCTAGTGAGATTACTTATCAAATCAGCTCCATAGTTGCTGCTATGGTTTGGATGTGGTTTGACCCTGCCAAAACTCATGCTGCAATTTAACTGCTGATGTAATTAAATGTTGAGAGGTAGTGGGACCTTTAAGAGGTATTTGGGTAATGAGGGATCTGCTCTCATGAAGGGTTAATGCAGTCTCACATGGGTGAATAAGTTCTCGCTCTTGAGTTGTTATAAAGTGAGGCTGCCTCTTATGTTTGGTCTCTTTGCAAACACCCACTCTCCCATCTGCTTTCTGCCATGACATGAGTCAGCATGAGGTGTTCACAGATAGGGTGTATGATCCTGGACTTCCCAGCCTCCAGAATCATGAGCCAAATAAACTTCTTTAATTTACAAATTACTCAGTCTCAGACATTCTGTTATAGCAACAGAAAACAGACTAGGACGGTTGCCAAGCCTAACTGGGCTTCACTTCATACTATTTAATCTAGTGGGCCTCAACTATGGTTGTAACATTGGAATCATCTGAGTAGCTTTAAAAAGTACTGAAGTCTCTTGTAATCCCAGCACTTTGGGTGGCCAAGGCAGGCAGATTGCTTGAGCTCAGGAGTTCGAGACCAGCCTGGGCTACATGGAGAAACCCTATCTCCATGGAAAAACCAAAAATATGAAAAAACTTGGCTGGGTATGGTGCTGCACACCTGAATCCCAGCTACTTGGGTGACTGAGGTGGGAGGAACATTTGAGCCCGGAAGGCAGAGGCTGCAGCAAGCCCAGATATTGCACCATTGCACTCCAGCCTGGATGAGAGAGTGAGACCTCATCTCACACACACACACACACACACACACACACACACAGCACTTCAGTCAAGGAACTATCCCCTGAGATTTTGATTTAATTGCTCTGGAATGCCTTTCTAGTCATGGGAATTTTCCCCCTTCATTTTTTTCTAGAGACAGGGTCTCACTCTATCACCCAGGCAGGAATGCAATGGCATGATCATAACTCACCATAGCCTCCAACTCCTGGACTCAAGTGATCCTCCCACTTGGGGCTCCCACCTGAGCCTCCCAAGTAGCTAGGATTACAGGCGCTTGCCATCACACTTGCCTAATTTTTATTTATTTAATTTTTGTAGAGTCAGGGTCTTGCTATATTGCCCAGGCTAGTCTCAAACTCCTGGCCTCAAGCCATTCTCCTGCCTCAGCCACCCAAAGTGTTGGGATCAGGTATGAACCACCACGCACAGCCTCCCCCAACATTTTATAAAATGTTTTAAATATATAGAAAAATGGAAAGAATTTTACTGTGAACATGCATACACCAACCATCCCATCCAAATTCTACCATTAATATTCTTTTATTTGCTTATCACGTATCTATCCATTTATCATTTCCTCTATCCATCCATCAACCTATTTTTTCTATGCTGCATTTCAAAGTAAATGGCAGATATCATACACTTCCCAGCATGAGGAATTTTAAAAACTGCCTAGTGATTCTAATGTGTAGCTAAGACTTAGCACCACTGATTTGGATTGCAGTGTTTCCATTGGAGTTAGTTTAAGTCAGGCTTACCTATATCAGTTGCAGGCTTCCTGCTCTGGGGTACCATAGGGACAAAACCCACAGGCAGCAAAAGAACAGTATCATCACATTCACTCAATTGCCTCTGAGTCTGTTTCCAGATTTATTTCTTTTTAGAAATGTGTTATAAAAATTCAGCAAAAAGAGGTATAGGCTTTCTACATTCTCAGTGAATGACCATGCATAAAATGATTATAATAAAGTTTCAAATAGTCACAGAATGGGTTTTGGCTTCACAATTTTAGGTTTCAGCAACTACAGTATGTAAACAGAAGTCACCTGGCTATTAATGAGGCCACAAACTTAAGGATGTTCAGAGACTATAGACTTAGTAAATGACAGAGCTAGGTATTCTCAAAATCTAGCAATATTTAATTTGATAATTGGTATTTTTAAAATTCAAACAAGAAAAATCAGAAAATAAATCTCATACCTGGAGTTTTCCGTTTTCATAGGCCAGTTTATTTTTACTTTCAGTGATTTTTTCCACCTTCTGTTGGGCAAGCTGATAAGGCAAACAAAGGCATCAGAACCTCTAGGCATAGAAAGGAATAACCATTTTCATTTTTAAACAAGTATTTACATCCTTACCATTTCTATCATCATAAGATCAAGATTCCTATTTATTTGCTACTGCTGCTTTTAGTCTTTTCCTACATAGTTGATCACAGGGCTAATATGCAACATGTACAGAGACTGCTAATAAAAGCATGAAGCTTTAAGAGTACCAGAGTTTGTTGGTTTTGTATATTAACTTTTTTTGTTATGTCAGTTATTCCTTTGTAGTTGTGATCCAGCATGGATGTGGTGTGGTTGTATCAGTGACTGCAGGTAGTCTGTGGAGCATTACACAGTTCTTTACGGAAATAGCAGCTGCAAGTGACCAGGACCACTGACAGCAGAAGGCACCTCACTTACCATGGTAAAAAGCAGTTTAGAAAAATCTCAAAAACAAAATAAATGTTTATTGGAGACTCAAACTCATTGTTTGATCAAATACTCAACACAGTATTATCTGGGGCAAACGTTACCAAAGCTTTCATATTTCACGAAATTACATATTTTCATTATTCAAACAGCCTTTAATAATGACAGTTATTTTTTCATATCCTGTTGTTCTCAGACTACATCAGAAAAAAATAAGTACAAAATTTAAATTTTGGGCCATATTGGTACTTTCTTTATATGAGGGGCACCATTAAGTGATTGAACATGGACTTTTCACTCTCCACAATCAATGCCAGTGTTATATCTTAATAACAGGAAATATTGCCATATGTCAAAATCATCTTCATAAACCAAATGTGGAGATAATGCACACAAAGCAAATGTGACTGAAGACACAAACTCTTAATCACTCATAAGCTAACTAGCTGCACTATGGATCATTTGCAGTAAATCTTAAGTTCAAAGTCTTATTAATGTTGGTAAGTATCTCATATTGACATTATTCACTATTTCTGGTTTATATTTGCTTATTCTGTGAATAACAGAACAGAGTGCCTTTTAGGCATTTTAAGCCAAAGAATTTTAGACTTTTGTTTTATGTTCAATTTTAGGTAAGCTGATAAGATAAAACCCATATATTAATTTACATAAGAGATATTCCTCACTATCTCCAACATGATTACAGCTATTCTTTAGTCACCACTTTGTAATATCCTTTATTTTAAGTGTGTGAACCTACCACACCTGCTTCTAAATAAAAGCAAAAACACATTCCAAACTAGATTACTATAATCTGTAACTCATATTTTCCTCTGTTCAAGATATTTTCTATGAGAAGGCACACTAAGCTGGGCACAGTGGCTCACACTTGTAATCCCAGCACTTTAGGTGGCTGAGGTGGGAGAATCACTTGAGGCCAGGAATTCAAGACCAGTCTGGTCAACATAGCAAAACCCTGTCTCTACAAAAAATTAAAAAATTAGCTGGGCATAGTGGTGCATGCCTGTAGTCCTAGTTACTTGAGAGGTTGAGGCAGGAGAATTGCTTGAAACCAGCTGGTCGAGGCTACACTGAGCCGTGATGGTGCCATTGCACTCCAGCCTGGAAGACAGAGCAAGACCCCCATTTCAAAAAAAAAAAAGGCACAGTAGTCTAGAGCATTGTTTTCTCCTTAGCAGTTGCCTTGGCTAGAAGAATTTTCATTTTTGACGTTCAACACTTGATAAAAATCTATGGAAAAGCCCTTGTATACCACCTACCGTAAAATCATACACCTTTAATATAAAAACTTATACCCAATATTAGGCTTTGGTGGATTATTAACTATTAGACCAAGTATTTGTCCTGTCAGAATTAATATTTATTTCATACATTATTATACATATTCATAATTCAGTTTTTAAAAGTTTTTAAAATCACTGTGTTGCTCCCACTAAGGCAAAGGAAAATATGTTTTAAAAAGCATTTAGACCAGTAGAGTATTGGTTTCAAAATAACCTGAGCAAAATGTAGACTGCTATCAATAAATAGGAAACTCATGATGATAAATATATTATCACAAAGTTAGTTCATCATTGATTAATTTTTGCGGAAAACACAGTGCTCTTTGCCAAAATGTTATCTGTTTTGGGAACTATGATACAAAATCATTCCATGAATGTAACATTACAGTTTAGGATTATGTTGACCAAGTCTTCAGCAGCAAATAAATTGTAAGGATGGTCAATAATACCACAAAAGCAAAGCTACAAGAATTGAACAATGAGAACACATGGACACAGGAAGGGGAACATCACACACTGGGGCCTGTTGCCGGGTGGGGAGAGGGGGGAGGGATAGCATTAGGAGATATACCTAATGTTAAACGACGAGTTAATGGGTGCAGCACACCAACGTGGCACATGTATACATATATAACAAACTTGCACGTTGTGCACATGTACCCTAAAACTTAAAGTATAATTTTAAAAAAAAGCTTATTTAAAATTCGATTCAAACTTCTACAAATTAAGATGTCTCAGTGTGCTGTAAAGCATAGGTAAGAACATATAAAAAACCAAGAACTAGAGTTAACCTAAAATATGCTAGCTCTAACAAATGCTAAACACTCAAATATAACTATCTTCTTGAAATGGGGAAAGTTTTTTTTAAAGAATAACTTAAATTATCTGAGTCTTCTATAAAAGGTGACCAGAAATTTAAAAAATAATGGAGCTTTTTCCCTATCAATACAATTCCCTCTTTCAGGCAAAGGCATAAAGAAATTCCATTAATCTTTTAAATATACTTTTAAAACAATAATTTTCCTATTTTGCCACTAAAGAGAATGCTAATGTACAAACGAAAATTGAGCAAAATCAAAATGTGATAATATTTGACAAAGGCTCACTTATTTAAATATTATGACACACACACAAAATAATTGTTCCAAGTTGCTAAGGGAAAGTGGATGTTAAGGCAGTTACTTAAATTACTGTTTACAGATTTAAATAGGCCCTGTACTTTCATCAACAGGAGACAAGAAATTAGAAACCACTTAAATGAGTGAATATCTCAGGTTTTGAGTTACAGAAGAGTGAACTGAAATTAACTTTTGCTTAAATACTCTTGGTAATATACTATAAACATTATTAGTACACAGAGCAAAACAGAAACTGGGGAATCACTTGAGAAACATCATACAGAGAAAGATACCAAACATTAGAATATCCATTTTAACTCAGAAACACAAAGATACCATTCTTTAGAAAAGCAGGAAGTAAAAATAGGAAGAATTATCTTAAGATATGAAAGACAGGTTGCCAAAGATCAACAGTAAGCCACAAAATTATTTCTAAAATCATTTTTTAAATCTAGGTGAGCTGTACAAGTTAGCAGAAGCTGTTAGAAGAATACACAAAACCAGTAGGATACTGGCATCTTGGTAAAGCTACTTTATAAGCAGATTGTAAGCATTTTTTAAAGTTTTTTATTATTTTGAATTTTTTATTCAAAATATTTAACAACAGTATGACATGAGCCCCAGCAAATCAAACCAACTTAGACATCTGCATGAGTGTACACTGACAATGTCATCCTGGTTTTAAGAAATAATACATTTTAGTTCATTTTTAAATTTCAAGTCATTAAAGTCCCAGTTGTACAGGGAATTATATTCCTGTCTGGTGCTACAATTTTAAAATATATGTTTAAACCCCAAAAGAGAAGTGGGGAGGAAAATCATTCAAACTGAACTCAGGCATGGTAACCTTCCTACATTTGGATCTTTTCTCACTGTGGTTCCCTGCGTGACTGCCAGTGGTAATGGAATTAAATTGCACTATCACTACAGGCTAAAATGGCAAAAAACAACAACAACAAAAAAAACCCCTGAAATTAGGAAATATGAAAGAAATAGCAGAGAATAATATTTATTATTGCAATATGATATTAATCCTTACTGCCTGGCAAAACAGACATGACCTTCTTTGTATTCTAGTCAATCAATGTTTTTAAAGCACCTATTATGTATTAGGCATTATGCTAGGCAAGGGAATATAAAGATGAGTAACTACTGTTCCTGCATTAGAAGAGAGTGAATGCAGATGCATAAACAGGCCAATTTCTAATCAATGTAGTAATTATTCTGATATGGATGTGCAGAGTATACTGTGGGATACCTACACTAGAAGAGATCCTCTTGGCATTGCAGGCCATGAGAGGTTAAGAACCTGCCCAGGTCACACAGTAAATGGAGGTTGAAACCAGGTCTATCTGAATTCAAGTTTGTGATGTTACACACACAACACACAGTCATGTGTATCTCCAAAAATCAATGGGTTAGACCAGATGGTACTCTTTATAAAGAATTTCAAGTTTTTACTCTCAAAGAACAAAAATACACTGCCAGCATTGAATGACAATAGATTTAATGATATTGCTAAGATTTAAAAACAAATCCTGAAATCCCTAGCTCATTCCTCAAACTCATATAGCCAACCGAAGCATTTCCAGGCAGGCATGGTCAGAGACGCTTCTGGGTGGAGACAGAGCTGCAAGCTAGAATTGCGTTATCTATGAGTCATCATTGGGAACCTGTAATCAAGACATGGTAGGCAGGCAAAAATCAACACTGACCAAATCACTGGCAAGATCTGTCAAAGTCATTAATAGGGTAAGGCTAGGCCTGCTCACTGGCAATGGATTCAGGAAAGAATCAGTCAGACTGAGAATGTGGTCTCCCAAAGGAACCCAGCTGAGGCTGGCCAACCAGCAAAGGACATGGCTGAATCTTTAATTCTGCAGAGAGAGAGGGTTGGTCTGAAATAATACCAGGGATTACAGCTAATGGATCTTGTCATTCCAATAGGCACTTACAGGCTTTTTTTTTTTCTCTGAGACAGTTCAGATACTAAGAATTCAATAAATGTTAGCTATCTGCTACATGTTCTGTGTGTATTAATTTACTTAAGCTCAAACATCCACAGTTATAGCATTATTATCCTCATTTTGACAGATTAAGAAACTGAGGCTCAGACAAGTTAAGGATCATACCCGAGGTCACAGCCAAAACTCAAAAGTAGGAAATCTGGCTTGAAAACCATGACCATATAAGAAGATTTAGACTTAGTCTGTATAATTTTTCATAGTTGAAGTAATGAGCAGCTTATAACAGTTTGAAAGACTTTAGCTCAGGTTAAAACAGAGTCACATCGGGGTCTTCTAGGAATTTTCAAAGATTATTTGCATGCTTAAAAGCAAGTAAGTAATACTTTTTCATGTATTCGAAAGCACACAAGAAAATTATTAGCTACTTAACAGAATGACCATATCTTCAAATCCCCTTTACTTGGAGAAGATTTTTTTTTTTTTTTTTGAGACGGAATCTCGCTCTGTCGCCCAGGTTGGAGTGCAGTGGCCTGATCTTGGCTCACTGCAAGCTCCGCCTCCCGAGTAGCTGGAACTACAGGCATCCGCCACCACGCCCGGCTAATTTTTTCTATTTTTAGTAGTGACAGGGTTTCACCGTGTTAGCCAGGATGGTCTCAATCTCCTTTCCTCGTGATCCACCTGCCTCGGCCTCCCAAAGTGCTGGGATTACAGGTGTGAGCCACCGCGCCCCACCTGGAGAAGGTATTTTAAGAACTGTACCACTTATTTGTAATGCACTGACCTTGTCAAATAGCTTTCAGAAATCAGACTTATTACTGATTGCCTAATGGAGGAAACTGTCTGATGAGAAAAAAAATACAAGTTTCTTGCTCATAATTTATGGAAGAGGAACTATTTTAAAACATCAGATATATTTGTATTTTTCAGTAACACAGATTGTGAAGGCAAATGTTTAATAAATCCCTTAAATTCTTGGTTTCTCAAATCACTATTGTTTGAATACTGTAAGAATCTCTGCTTAGATTTTTAATAATTATGAAAACACAAAGAAAACCCATCTCCTGACCTCTGGTTGTTGTTATTTCTGAACTCATTAGTCATTAATTGCTATTTAGACTGATCTTTTTATACCCACCCCATGGTAATCAGAAGTGACTTGCTGAAGTTCTAGGGAAGCCATTTGATCTGCCAGGTGCTTATTCTCTTCTTCAAGAGTCTGCAGGTTATGAGTTAATGTATTTATGTCTACCTTTAAAGAAACAAAAGTAAAAAAGAAACTATTTACGCCAGATGCAAAAAGTATTATCTTATTTTTAAAATGACAATTACAACTGTAAAATGGACAGTATTGTCCATATGTTTCCTTGCCTCTAAATGTGGAAATATGACCAGTCAGTCTGATAGCTCTATGATTTTTTATTTTTTACTTTTTTGAGACGTAGTCTCACTCTGTCACCCAGGCTGGAGTGCAGTTGTGTGATCTTGGCTCACTGCAAGCTCTGCCTCCCGGGTTCAAGCAATTCTCCTGCCTCAGCCTCCTGAGTAGCTAGGATTACAGGCACGCACCACCATGCCCAGCTAATTTTTGTATTTTTAGTAGAAACGGGGTTTCATCATGTTGTTCAGGCTGGTCTCGAACTCCTGACCTTGTGATCTGCCCGCCTCAGCCCCACAAAGTGCCGGGATTACAGACATAAGCCACAGAGTCCAGCCACTCTATAATGTTTTTAAGAACCCTTTTCTCTGTGTGGTTTGTGGGTCTAACATTTTTTCTAAAAAGAACCCTTTTTCTCTCTTTTCCATTTTCTGAGTTTTTCTAGTTGCCCTCAGCAAAAGGGATATCGTAAATTATATAGTTCCCCTTTACTATAAGTTAAAGTCCTTCTGGTATTTACTTAAAATCAATTCAAGCTTATGAATATAGATGCAAAAATCTTCCAGCCAGGAGCGGTGGCTCACGCCTGTAATCCCAGGTCTTTGGGAGGCTGAGGCAGGTGGATCACCTGAGGTCAAGAGTTCGAGACCAGCCTGACCAACATGGAGAAACCTCATTGCTACTAAAAATGCAAAATTAGCCAGGCGTGGTGGCACATGCCTATAATCCCAGCTACTTGGGAGGCTGAGGCAGGAGAACTGCTCGAACCAGGGAGGCAGAGGTTGCGGTGAGCTGAGATCACGCCATTGCACTCCAGCCTGGGTAACAAGAGCGAAACTCCATCTCAAAAAAAAAAAAAAAAAAAAATCTTCCACAAAATATTAGCAAAATGAACCCAGCAATATATAAAAAGATAATAAATTAGGAATAAGTGAAGCTTAACTCAGTAATGCAAAGCTTGTTGAACATTCAAAATAAATCAGTATAATACACCGTTTCAATAGACTATAGAAGAAAACCCATATAACCATCTTAATACTCGCAGTAAAAGAATTTCATAAAATTCAACATCAATTCATTATAAAAACTCAGCAAACCAGAAATGAAAGGGAACCACCTCTAGTTGATTAAAAAATGTATCCATAAAAATCCTACAGCTAATATCAATATTAATAGTGAAAAACTTTCCCCCTAAAACTGGGAAAAGGCAAAGGTATCCACTTTCACCGCTCCTATTCCACATCATACAGGAGGCCATAGCTGGTGCGATAAGGCAAGAAAACATAATAAAAGGCATTAAGATTGGAAAAGGAGAAATAAAACTGTCTCTACTCGAGACATATGATTGTCTAAAAAGGAAATCCCGAAGAACCTCCAAAAAAGATGCTAGAGTAAGTGAGTGTGTCAAGGCTGAAGGATATAAGGGCAAATCTATTGTATTTCTATATATTAACAATGTACAATTGGAAATTCACGTTTCATTAAAATGCCATTTAAAACAGTACTAATACTATGAAATTCTTTAAGTACAAATCTAACAAAATATGTCTAAGATATGATGTGCTGAAAATTATGAAATACTGAGTGAAATAAAAAACCAAAATAAAACAGAGAGATAATCATGTTCATTTACCGACATGTGTTGCATAACAATGTTTCAGTCAATGACGGACCACATACACAACAATGGTTGGAGCAACAAGCTACACTATATAACCTAGACATGTCAGGGGCTCAAAATAATGGAGGAGAATCTACCAAGCAAATGGAAAACAGAAAAAAGCAGGGGTTGCAATCCTAGTTTCTGAAAAACCAGACTTTGAACCAATAAAGACAAAAAAAGACAAAGAAGGGCATTACATAATGGTAGAGAGTTCAATTCAACAAGAATTATATCTTAAATATATATGCATCCAACACAGGAGCACCCAGATTCACAAAGCAAGTTCTTAGAGACCTTCAAAGAGACAGACTCCCACACAATAACAGTGGGAGATTTTAGCATTCCACTGACAATATTAGATCATGGAGACACAAAATGAACAAAGATATTCAGGATCTGAACTCAGCACTAGATCAAATGGAAGTGACAGGTATTTACAGATCTCCCCACCCCAAAACAACAAATATACATTCTTCTCATTGCCACTTGGCACTTACTCTAAAATTGATCACATAATTGGAAGCAAAACACTCCTCAGCAAATGTGAAAGAACGGAAATTATAACAGTCTCTTGGACCACAACACGATCAAATTAGAATTCAAGACTAAGAAATCCATTCAAAACCACACAACTACATGGAAATTGAACAACCTGCTCCTGAATGACTCCTGGGTAAGTAATGAAATTAAGGCAAAATTCAATAGGTTATTTAAAACTAATGAGAAAAAAGAGATAACATACCTGAATCTCTGGGACACTGCTAAGGCACTATGAAGAGGAAAATGTATAGCACTAAATTCCCACATCAAAAAATTAGATCTCGGCCGGGCGCGGTGGCTCACGCCTGTAATCCCAGCACTTTGGGAGGCTGAGGCGGGTGGATCATGAGGTCAGGAGATCGAGACCATCCTGGCTAACAAGGTGAAACCCCGTCTCTACTAAAAATACAAAAAATTAGCCGGGCGCGGTGGCGGGCGCCTGTAGTCCCAGCTACTGGGGAGGCTGAGGCAGGAGAATGGCGTGAACCCGGGAAGCGGAGCTTGCAGTGAGCCGAGATTGCGCCACTGCAGTCCGCAGTCCGGCCTGGGCGACAGAGCGAGACTCCGTCTCAAAAAAAAAAAAAAAAAAAAAAAATTAGATCTCAAGTTTACAACCTAACTTCACAACTAAAGGAACTAGAGAACAAAGAGCAAACAAATCTCAAAGCTAGCAGAAGACAAGAAATAATCAAAATCAGAGGTGAACTGAAGGAGATAGAGACACAAAAACCATTCAAGAGATCAACAAATCCAGGAGCTGTTTTTGTTTTGTTTTTGAGATGGAGTCTTGCTCTGTTGCCCAGGCTGGAGTGCAGTGGCGCAATCTCAGCTCACTACAACCTCCGACTCCCAGGTTCAAGCAATTCTTCTTCCTCAGTCTCCCGAGTAGCTGGGACTACAGGCCCATGCCACCACGCCTGGCTAATTTTTGTATTTTTAGTAGAGACGAGGTTTCACCATTTTGGCCAGGCTGATCTCAAACTCCTGACCTCGTGATCCACCTGCCTCGGCCTCCCAAAGTGCTGGGATTACAGGCGTGAGCCACCGTGTCCAGCCCGGGAGCTGTTTTAAAAAAAAAAAAATAGATAGACTTCTAGCTAGACTAATAAATAAGAAAAGAGAGTAGTTTCAAATAAACACAATCAGAAATGATAAAGGAGATATTACCACTGACCCCACAGAAATACAAACAACCATCAGAGAATATTAAAAACACCTCTATGTACATAAACTAGAAAATATAGAAGAAACAGATAAATTCCTAGATATATACACCCTCCCAAGACTTAACCAGGAAGAAGAAATTGAATCCCTGAACAGACTAATAACGAGTTCAGAAATTGAGGCAGTAACAAATAGCCTAGCAACCAGAAAAAGCCAGCATCAGACAGATTCACAGCTGAATTCTATCACAGGTACAAAGAAGAGCTGGTACCATTTCTACTGAAATGATTCCAAAAAATTGAAAAGGAGTGACTACTCTGTAACTTATTCTATGAGGCCAGCAGCATCCTGATACCAAAACCTGGCAGAGATACAATGACAAAAAAAGAAAACTTCAGGCCAATATCCTTGATGAACATTGATGCAAAAATCCTCAGTGAAATACTGGCAAACTGAATCCAGCAGCATATCGAAAAGCTTATCTGCCATGATCAAGTAGGCTACATCCCTGGGATGCAAGGTAGTTCAACATATGCAAATCAATAAATGTGATTCATCACATAAACAGAACTAAAGAGAAAAACCACATGATTATCTCAATAGATGCAGAAAAGGCCTTCAATAAAATTCAACATCCCTTCACGTTAAAAACTCTCAATAAACTAGGTATTGAAGGAACATACCACAAAATAATAAGAGCCATCTATGACAAACCCACAGCCAATATCATACTGAATTGACAAAAGGTAGAGCCATTTCCCTTGAAAACTGGCACAAGACAAGCATGCCCTCTCTCACTACTCCTATGCAACACAATATTGGAAGTTCTGGCCAAGGCAATCAGGAAAGAGAAAGAAATAAAGGGCATTCAAATAGAAAAAGAGGAAGTCAAACTATCCCTGTTTGCAGATGACATGATCCTGTAACTCTTTTTTTTTTTAATATTCACTATGGATATGATTTATTCCAGAGAGATCATACAGAACTCTTATCAGCTTATCTAGAACCAAAGCACAGGTCTTAGCTTTCCATGAAAAACTGGCAAATGAATTTATATGTATATGTATTTATATGAATTTACCTATTTTAAATTACATATATGAATTTACATATTAACTTCAAGTATATGTACAATTAAAACGTTTTAGGTAGGTTTTTTATTTTATTATTATTATACTTTAAGTTTTAGGGTACATGTGCACAATGTGCAGGTTAGTTACATATGTATACATGTGCCATGCTGGTGTGCTGCACCCATTAACTCATCATTTAGCATTAGGTATATCTCCTAAAGCTATCCCTCCCCCCTCCTCCCTCCCGCCTCCCCACAACAGTCCCCAGAGTGTGATGTTCCCCTTCCTGTGTCCATGTGTTCTCATTGTTCAATTCCCACCTATGAGTGAGAATATGCGGTGTTTGGTTTTTTGTTCTTGCGATAGTTTACTGAGAATGATGATTTCCAATTTCATCCATGTCCCTACAAAGGACATGAACTCATCATTTTTTATGGCTGCATAGTATAAACAGAACCAAAGACAAAAACCACATGATTATTTCAATAGAGGCAGAAAAGGCCTTTGACAAAATTCAACAACCCTTCATGCTAAAAACTCTCAATAAATTAGGTATTGATGGGATGTATCTCAAAATAATAAGAGCTATCTATGACAAACCCACAGCCAATATCATACTGAATGGGCAAAAACTGAAAGCATTCCCTTTGAAAACTGGCACAAGACAGGGATGCCCTCTCTCACCATTCCTATTCAACATAGTGTTGGAAGTTCTGGCCAGGGCAATTAGGCAGGAGAAGGAAATAAAGGGTATTCAATTAGGAAAAGAGGAAGTCAAATTGTCCCTGTTTGCAGATGACATGATTGTATATCTAGAAAACCCCGTTGTCTCAGCCCAAAATCTCCTTAAGCTGATAAGCAACTTCAGAAAAGTCTCAGGATACAAAATCAATGTACAAAAATCACAAGCATTCTTATACACCAATAACAGACAAACAGAGAGCCAAATCATGACTGAACTCCCATTCACAATTGCTTCAAAGAGAATAAAATACCTAGGAATCCAACTTACAAGGGATGTGAAGGACCTCTTCAAGGAGAACTACAAACCACTGCTCAATGAAATAAAAGAGGATACAAACAAATGGAAGAACATTCCATGCTCATGGGTAGGAAGAATCAATATCATGAAAATGGCCATACTGCCCAAGGTAATTTACAGATTCAATGCCATCCCCATCAAGCTACCAATGACTTTCCTCACAGAATTGGAAAAAACTACTTTAAAGTTCATATGGAACCAAAAAAGAGCCCACATCGCCAAGTCAATCCTAAGCCAAAAGAACAAAGCTGGAGGCATCACACTACCTGACTTCAAATTATACTACAAGGCTACAGTAACCAAAACAGCATGGTACTGGTACCAAAACACAGATATAGATCAATGGAACAGAACAGAGCCCTCAGAAATAACGCCGCATATCTACAACTATCTGATCTTTGACAAACCTGAGAAAAACAAGCAATGGGGAAAGAATTCCCTATTTAATAAATGGTGCTGGGAAAACTGGCTAGCCATATGTAGAAAGCTGAAACTGGATCCCTTCCTTATACCTTATACAAAAATTAATTCAAGATGGATTAAAGACTTAAATGTTAGACCTAAAACCATAAAAACCCTAGAAGAAAACCTAGGCATTACCATTCAGGACATAGGCATGGGCAAGGACTTCATGTCTAAAACACCAAAAGCAATGGCAACAAAAGCCAAAATTGACAAATGGGATCTAATTAAACTAAAGAGCTTCTGCACATCAAAAGAAACTACCATCAGAGTGAACAGGCAACCTACAAAATGGGAGAAAATTTTCGCAACCTACTCATCTGACAAAGGGCTAATATCCAGAATCTACAGTGAACTCAAACAAATTTACAAGAAAAAAACAAACAACCCCATCAAAAAGTGGGCGAAGGACATGAACAGACACTTCTCAAAGGAAGACATTTATGCGATCCTATATCTCAAAAACCCTATTGCCTCAGCCCCAAAGCTTCTTAAGCTGATAAGCAACTTCAGCAGTCTCAGGATACAAAATCAATGTGCAAAGATCGTTAGCATTCCCATACATCAACAACAGTAAAGCTGACAGCCAAATCATGAATGAACTCCCATTCACAGTTGCCACAAAAAGAATAAAATACCTAGGAATACAGCTACTAGGTAGGTGAAAGGTCTCTACAAGAACTACAAAACACTGCTCAAAGAAATGAGAGATGACATTAACAAATGGAAAAACATTCCATGCTCATGGATAAGAAGAATCATGTCATTAAAATGGCCATACTGCCCAAAGCAATTTACAGATTCAATGCTATTCCCATTAAACTACCATTGACATTCTTCACAGAACTCGAAAATACTATTTTAAAATTTATATGGAACCAAAAAAGAGCCTGAACAGCTAAGAAAATCCTAAGCAAAAAGAACAAAGCTGGAGGTACCATGCTACTCAACTTCAAATTATGCTACAGGGCTACAGTAACCAAAACAGCATGCATGGTACTGGTACAAGAACAGACACATAGACCAATGGAACAGAATAGAGAACCCAGAAATAAGACCACACACCTTCAGCTATCTGACCTTTGACAAACCTGACAAAAACAAGCAATGGGGAAAGGATTCCCTGTTAAATAAATGGGACTGGGATAACTGGCTAGCTATATGCAGAAGATGGAAACTGGACCCCTTCCCTATGCCATATACAAAAATTAACTCAAAATAGCTTAAGGACTTAAATATAAAACCCAGAACTATAAAAACCCTGGAAGACAACCTAGGTAATACTATTCAGAACATAGGCACGAGCAAAGATTTCATGACAAAGACGTCAAAAGCAATCGCAACGAAAGCAAAAATTGACAAATGGGATCTAATTAAACTAAAGAGCTTCTGCATAGCAAAAGAAACTATCACCAGAGTAAACAGACAGTCTACAGAATGAAAGACTATACATCTGACAAAGGTCTAATATCCAGCATCTATAAGGAACTTAAATTTGCAAGAAAAAGACAACCTCATTAAACAGTGGGCAAAAAGCATAAACAGATACTTCTTAAAAGAAGACATAAATGTGGCCAAGAATCATATGAAGAAAGCTCAACATCACTGAACATCAGAGAAATGTAAATCAAAACCACAATGAGATACCATCTCACACCAGTCAGAATGACTACTATTAAAAAGTCAAAAAATCAAATAATAACAGATGCTGGTGAGGTTGTGGAGAAAAAGGAACACTTGCACACTGTTGGTGGGAGTGTAAATTAGTTCAACCATTGTGGAAGACAGTGTGGCGATTCCTCAAATTCCTGAAGACAGAAATACCATTTGACCCAGCAATCTCATTACTGGGTATATACCCAAAGGAATATACATCATTCTATTATAAAGATACATGCATGTGTGTATGTTCACTGGAGCACTATTCACAACAGCAAATACATGGAATCAACCTAAATGCTCATCAATGATAGACTGGATAAAGCAAATGTGGTACATATACACCATGGAATACTATGCAGCCATAAAAAAGAATGAGATCACGTCCTCGTGATCATGGATGGAGCTGGGGGCCATTATCCTTAGCAAACTAACACTGGAACAGAAAACCAAATGTTGCATGTTCTCTTATAAGTGGGAGCTAAATGATGAGAATATATGGATACACAGAGGAGAACAACAAGTACTGGGTGTGTCAGAGGGTGGAGGGTGGGTGGAGGGAGAGAATCAGGAAAAATAATAATATCTGGGTGATGAAATAATCTGCATAACAAATCCCCGTAACACACATTTACCTATGTAACAAACCTGCACATGTACACTGAACTTAAAAGTTAAAAAAAAAAACCTAGGTGTGACCACTGAGGTTTGTGTAAGTACTCTCTATTGCACGACAACAAAACTGCCCAGAGATGCATTTCTGAGAATGTATCTCCATCAAGTGACAACCTAACTGTATTAGAAGATTCAATATTGCTGAGATGTTAACTCTAATTTCAGTTGAAATCCCCACAAAACATCATTAAGGTCATTCTAAAACATACATGAAAAAGCAAATGAACTAAAATAGCTAAAACACTTTAGGAAAATAACACCGTTGGAGGACTCTACCTAATTTCACGATTTATTATAAAGCTACAATAATCATAGTCTGTGGAAAGGCTACTGTGTTGTTGAACTTGCCCAGCTGTGGGTGCAGCCATGTACCAGGCAGCCCAAGCCTGACATAAAGTAAATTCCCAGGAGAAGTCTTTCCTGGGTTTTGAATTTGCAGTAACAGGTGTAAGCATTCCAGCAGCAGTTTGTTGATCATGTGATATCAGAAATGCAAGCTAAAGGACAGTTGCCAACTGTGGGAATGAGTGTAAAAGACATGCCCCAAAACAAACATAAGTAAACTGTTGAAAGCAAGAGACACAAAATCTTGAAAGTATCAAGAGAGGAGTGGCTCCTGATGTACAAGATAATCTCAGTAAGATTAACAGCTGATTTCTCATCAGAAAGTTGAGGCCAGAAGGCAGTGGGATGACATATTCAAAATGCTGAAAGAAAAACATTCAACCGGCTGGGCGCGGTGGCTCACACCTATAATCCCAGCACTTTGGGTGGCTGAGGCGGGCGGATCACGAGGTCAGGAGATCAAGACCATCCCTGGATAACAAGGTGAAACCTCGTCTCTACTAAAAATACAAAAAAAATTAGCCAGGCGTGGTGGTAGGCGCCTGTAGTCCCAGCTACTTGGGAGGCTGAGGCAGGAGAATGGCATGAACCCGGGAGGTGGAGCTTGCAGTGAGCCGAGATGGCACCGCTGCACTCCAGCCTGGGTGACAGAGCGAGACACTGTCTCAGAAAAAAAAAAAAGAAAAGAAAAAGAAAAACATTCAACCATGAATTCTAAATTCAGCAAACCTATCCTCAAAAACAACAGAGAAATTAAGACATTCCCAGATAAATAAAAATGGAAATAATTCATACAAGAGCTTTTCTTCTAGTTTAAACACACTCTTGAGAATGTGGTTCTTCAGACTTCACCTAAAACGTGGAGTAATTTCTCCAGGTCCCCATTTTTGATGGGGTTTGGATTGTGAAGCTAGAAAGCATACGCTGTAAGAAATACTAAAGGAAGTTCTTTAGGCTAAAATAAAAGGGCACTAGACAATATCTGGAATCCACATAAGAAATAAAAGGTAACAGTAAAGGTAGCAACATAGGTGTATATAAAAGGTAGTATATATTTTTGTTTGTAATTCTTTTTGTTACCTATAAACCAAAATACAGAATAAAAGAAATGATAAGGGAGTTAAAATGGTGAACTAGAAATATATATTTAACATAAAAGATGGCACTAATTGAGAAATAGAGGAACAAAAAGCAAAAAACGAAACAAAAAAAGCAAAATGGCAGATATAAATCCTACCTTAACAGTAATTATATTAAATACAAATGGATTAAACCACTGCAATTACAAAGCACAGAGATAGGCAAAATTAGTTTTTAAAAAAACAACTATATGCTGTTTATAAAATATACACTTTAGATCCAAATACCCAAATGGGGTTGAAAGCAAAAGGATGAAAAATATATACCATATAAATTAAACAGTAATCTAAAAAGAGCTAGAATGATTGTACTAATATTAGACAAAATAGACATTAAGAAAAAACTGGTGAGATAAAGGGCATTATACACTGAAAAAGTGTTTACTCATCAAGAAGATGTATCATTTATAAATATATATGCACCTAACAGAGGCCACAAGTATATGAAGCAAAAAATGACAGTATTGAAGGAACAAATAAATAATTTAACAGTAATAGTTGGAGACTTCAATACCCCATTTTCATTAATCAGCAGAACAACTGGACAGAAGATTAATGCGGAAACAGAAGACATGAACAACACTATAAACCAAGTAGACCTAACGGACACCTATAGAACAATCCTCCCAATAATAGCAAAATACACATTTTTCTCAAATGCACATGGAACATTCTTCAGGGTATAACCCTGTTATACCACAAAACAACTCTCAATAAATCTGAAAGGACTGATATCATGCAAAGTATGTTCTCCAACCACAATGGAATAAAATTAGAAATCAATAAAAGAATATTTGGGGAATTCACATATGTGAATAAACTAAACATGTCACTTCTAAACAACCAATGGGTCAAAAAAGAAATCTCAAGGGAAATTAAAGAACAGTTTGAGATAAACAAAAATGAAAACACAAAATAACAAAACATCTCATATGCAGCTAAAGCAGTGCAGAGAGGGAAATTTATAGCTGCAGAAACTTATTTTTTATTTTTTTATGGGCACTCCCCTGAACCAGAATAGGTTCAGAGTGACTCCTATAGGCACTTACATTTAAAAAATGAAATATTTCTCAATCAATAACCTAAGCTTTTTTTTAGAAACTAGACAAAGAAAAGCAAATTAAACCCCAAGCAAACATAAAGAAGGTAACAAGATTAACGCAGAAATAAGATAGAGAAAAATCTATAAAAACTTCCACAAGTTGGTTCTCTAGAAAGATCAACAAAATTGACAAACCTTTAGCTGGACTAACCAAGAACAAAATACAGGAGACACAAATTATTAAAATTAGCAGTCAGAGAGAGAACTCTGCTACTGACCTTACAGAAAGAAAGACAAGGGGCTACTCTGAAAATAGTATGCTAACAAATTAGATAGCCTAGATGAAATGGACAAATTCCTAGAAAGAACCAAACTACTGAAACTGACTCAAATAAAGGTAGAAAATCTGCATAGACCTATAAGAATAAAAATAATAAACCAAACAAAGAAACAAAACCTTCTACATACAAGAAAGCCCAGAACCAGATGGCTTCACTGGTAAATGCTACAAAATATTTAAAGAAGAATTAACCCCAATCCCTCACAAACTCTTCCCAACAATAGAAATGGAGGGAATACTTACCAAATGGTTTTAAGAGACCAATATTATCTTGATACCAAAACCAAAAAGATTACAAGAAAATAAAACTACAGAACAGTATCCCTTATGAATATAGATGCAAAAAATCTTAACAAAATACTAGCAAGCCTAATGCAACAACATATAAAAAGGACAACATGACCAAATAAAATTTATCCAAGGAATGCAAGCTTAGTTTTCCATTTCAAGTCAATCACTGTAATACACCATAGTAATAGAACAAAGAACAAAACCCACAAGATCATCTCAATAGACACAGCAAAAGCATTTAACAAAATTCAACATATTTTCATGACAAAAATTCCCAACAAACTGAGAATAGAGGGGAATTTTCTAATCCTGATGAACAGCATTGAAAAAACCCCACAGTTGACATCATACTTAATGGTGACAAACTAAAAGCTTTCCCCCGAAGATCAGAAACAAGACAGAGATGTCTGCTCTCACCAATTCTATTCAATACTGCACTGGAGATTCTATCAGGCAATTATATACGAAAATGAAATAAAAGGCAGCCAAATTGGAAAGGAAGAAGTGAAACTATCTGTATTACAAATAGACATAGCAAATAGAGAGCCCAGGAGTTCGAGACCAGCCAGGCAACAGAACAAAACTCCATCTCTACAAAAAATAACTATCTCTATTACAAATAGAGATAATTTATAGAGATATAGTTTATAGAGATAGTTATAGTGATGACACTATCTTATACAGTAGTCCTCACTGTCATTGATAGGTTCTTGGAGACTGCAACTTCAAGTGAAATGATAATGCATAACAAAATCCATTTTTTTCTTATCAACATCATAACACAACACTGAATGAAATGATGTTATTCAAGGACCTGCTGTATGTCGTTTCACTTGAAATTGAAACCTAAGAACCTACTGATGACATTAAGTGAGGACATACTTTATACAGAAAATATACAACAAATTGTATTATTGAGATTGTAATACTCTTCAAATTGATCTACAGATTCAATGTAAACCTTACCAAAATTCCAGCTGTTCTTTTTTACAGAAATGGAGAGTCTGGTCCTAAAATTCATATAGAAATGCAATGACCCAGAATGGCTAAAACAATCTTTAAAAAATAACAACAAAAAAAAAAGTTGGAAGATTCACATTTAGACGTCAAAACTTCCTACAAAACAATAGTAATCAAGACTGTGTGGTATTAGCATAACGACAGACATATAGATCAATGCAAGATAATTAAGAGTCTAGAAATAAACTTACATATCTATGATTAATTGATTTTTGACAGGGGAGTGAAAACTATTCCATAGAAAGAATGAATGATCTTTTCAACGAACAGTACTCGGACAATTGTATATCTGTAGCCAAAATAATGAAGTCAAACCCTTACCTCATAGCACATATAAAATAAACTCAAAGTGGATCAAAGACCTAAATTAATACATAAAACTATTAAAAAAATTTTAAAATATAAAATAGGTATAAATCTATATGATCTTGAGTTAGGCAAGAGTTTCTCAACTATAATACTCAAACACAAACAATCCAAGGAAACACAGATAAACCAAACTTAAAATTTTTAAAACTTTTATGCATCAAAGGACATTATCAATGTAAAAATACAACCCACAGAATGGGAGAAAATACCTGCAAATCATATCTGATAAGGTTGTAGTATCTAAAATATGTAAAAAACTCATACAAGTTGATAATTAAAAGATAATCCCTTTTAAAAATAGACAAAGGATCTGAATAGACATTTCTCCAAAGAAGATATATAAATGGCCAGTAAGCACACAAGAAGCTGCTTAACGTCATTAGTTACTATGGAAATACAAATCAAAACCACAATGAGGTACCACTTCACACCCATTAGGATGGCTATAATCAAACACAAAATAAGTGTTTGTGAGGATGTGGAGAAACTGGAACTTTTGTACATCGCTGGTGAGAATGTAAAATGGTTTAGTGCTGTGGAAAACTGGTGATTCCTCAGAGTTAAGCATAAAATTACCATGTGACCCAGAAATTCCACTGTTAGATATATATATCACAAAGAATTGAAAAGAGGTACTGAAATATATGTATATACAGGTTCACAGCAGCACTAGTCACAATAGCTAAAAGGTAAAAACAGTGTAAATGTTCTTTGACAGATGGACAGATAAACAAATTTGGTGTGTGTGTATGTGTGTGTGCGTGCACATACATACATACAATCACCATTACTCAGCCATAAAATGAAGTACTGATACATACTACAATGTTGAAGAACCCCAAAAGCATCATGCTAAGTAAAAGAAGCCACACACAAAAAATCAAATATTGTATGATTATATTTATATAAAATATCCAGAATAGGTAAATCCATAGAGACAGAATGTCAACTAGTTGTTGTCAGGGGCTGGGAGAAGGAGGGAATGGGGAGTGACTGCTTAACTAGTACAGGGTTTCCTTTTGGGGTGATGAAAATATTTTGAATCTAGACAGAGGCAGTGGTGGCACCACACTGCAAATGTACTGAATACCACTGAATTGTTCACTTTAAAATGGCTAATTTTATATTATGTGAATTTCACCTCAATTAAAAAACCACAGTGAGATATTTCACACCCACTAGGATGGGTATTTTAAAAATGTGAACAATAACAAGTGTTAGTAAGGATGTGGAGACACTGGAACTCTCAAACATTGCTGGTGGGATTGTAAAATGGTGTAGCCACTTTGGAAAAGAGTTTGGCAGTTTCTCAAAATGATAAACATGGAGTAATCACATGACCCAGTAGTTCCACTCCTAGGTTATACCTCGGACAACTGAAAACATATGTTTACACAAAAAAATTGTATACGAATGCTCACAGAATCATTAATACCCAAAAAGTTGAAACAACCTGAAAGCCCACCAATGGAGAAATTTAAAAAGGTACTAGGCTGGGCATGGTGGCTCACGCCTGTAATCCCAGCAATTTGGGAGGCTGAGATATCTGGGCAGATTGCTTGAGCCCAGGAGTTCGAGACTGGCCAGGCAACATAACAAAACTCCGTCTCTACAAAAAATAAAAAAATTAGCTGAGTGTGGTGGCATGCATCTGCAGTCCCAGCTACTCAGGAGGCTGAGGTGGGTGGGAGGATCACCTGAGCCTGGGGGGGTGGAGGCTGCAGTGAGCTGTGATTGTGTCACCGCCCTGCAGCCTGAGTGACAGAGTGAGACCCTGAAAAAAAAATGAAATGAACCCTGAACAATACCTTGCATGATACATAAAAATTAACTTGAAATGGATCACAGACTTACTATAAAACCTAAAACTATAAGACTTCTAGAGGACAACAAAAATGAAAATTGTGGTGATCCTAGGTTAGGCAAAAATTCAAAAAGTATGATCCACAAAATTTTTTAAATTGATCATTAGTCTTCATTAAAATTTAAAACTTCTGCTCTTTGAAAGAAAATGAAAAAAGTCATAAAATGGAAGAAGAGATCTATAAAACACATATCTGACAAAAGACTTGTATATATACAAACAGTAAAAATATTTTTAAGATTATAAGAATATGTTTTAAAACCTCTGAAAACTCCAGAAAAACAACTGAATTTAAAATGGTTAAAAGATTTGATGAGATACTTCAATTTGTAATGGCAAATAAGTGCATGAAAAGAAGCTCAATATTATTAGTCATTGGAGAAATGCAAATTACAACCACAGTGACACGCTGCTACACACAAATTCTAATAGATAAAACTAAAAAACTGACAACCAAGTGCTAGTGAGAATGTAGAGAAACTGGAACTCATGAATTACTAACAGAAATGTAAGATGGTACAGATTGTTTGAAAAACAGCTGAGCAGTTTGTTATTATGCTAAACATACATTTATCACAGGAACCAGAAATCCAACTCTTGATATTTACCCAACAGAAATACATATGTGCATATCTGAATATTTATATAGGCTTTATTAACTGCCAAAATCAGGAAACAAACCAAATGTCCTTCAGTTGGTGAATGGATAAAGAAACTGATACATCCAGGCAATGGAGCAGATTACTGACACACAACATGGATGAATCTCAAATGCCTTATGCTAAATGAAAAAAATTAAATTTAAAATGCTACATACTGTATGATTCTATTTATATGACACTCTGGATAATTTATAACTACAGGGACAAAAACACAGATCTGTGGTTGCCAGGGGAAGGAGGTGGAAGAAGGCATTGATTACAAAAGGGCACAAGGGAACTTCCTCAGGGTGACAAAAATGTTCTATATTTTGATTGTGGTGGTGGTTACATGATTTTATGTGTCAAAATTCATAGAACTATACACTAAAAAAGGGTGAATTTCACTGTATGTAAATTATAACAATTAACCTGACTTTTTAAAAAAGCATACTGTTAAAAGAACACATATTTTAAAAATCAATTTATACCACAAAATGAGATTCTCTATAAGCACTATCATTTGGCTTCATAGAAAGTCTCTAATGAACAAGTATCTTTCAGCACCATGAACTTACACTTAGTCTACATTAAGACGAATGAAATCAGACAAGCAAAATAATAATGCTATGTTTTTATCTCAAACATATTCACAGCATTTGCCTTGGCCATGTAACATTCACTAACTTTTTTATGAGACAGAGTCTCACTCTGTCACCCAGGCTGAAATGCAGTGGTGCAATCTTGGCAACCTCCACCTACGAGGTTCAAGCAATTCTCATGCCTCAGTCACCCGAGTAGCTGGGATTACAGGTGTGCGCCACCGCACCTGGTTAATTTTTTTTGTATTTTTAGTAGAGACAGGGTTTTGCCTTGTTGGCCAGGCTGGTCTCAAACTCCTGGCCTCAAGTGATCTGCCTGCCTCAGCCTCCCAACGTGCTGGGATTACAGGTGTGAGCCACCACGCCCACTCTCATTCACTAACATTTTTAAGCAAAAAGCATTACTGAATTTAATAGTAGTCACCAATTTTCCCAATTTTAGAAAGCATGGTTGAGGTCAAATTGATACCACCAAAGTCCTTGCCACAGGAAGTCAGCCTCATTTGAGGATTTTTAGGGTGGACTATTTTCATATCACTAGAACCAGAGAAAGCACCTGCTAGCTTGGTGGTAACTGCATTTGAGCTCAGGCTCAAACTCTAGCATTTCTCCTCTCTCCAATCCTTAAATTAAAAGTTTACATGTATATATGGTAATACAAATGCTACTTGGGCAAACCAGAAGCAAAGAAACAGTCAAGGTTTGATGACTATACCCAATACCTATTGCTGGATTTCTTGTCTAAGTAAGCTAATAACTCCTTGCTGCTCCAGATATATTCTCCAGATGACAGTGATACATAATCTTTACTCTCTTCAAAATTTGAAACGCAAACAGCAATGTTTTAAAGATTGGTTCTTGTTTAATTTTAATAAGGATTTCATTTGTTTCTCTGGACATTCTACTGTTTTAGAACCCAGAAAATGGTACCTCGAAGATACAGTGGCAGGTGCTGATAGGTACTTAGGCAGCCTTAGTTTTTTGTATTTTTTTTTTCTTTTTGACAGGGAGTCTTGCTCTGTCGCCCAGGATGGAGTGCAGTGGTGCAATCTCTGCTCACTGCAACCTCTGCCTCCTGGGTTCAGGCGATTCTCCTGCCTCAGCCTCCCGAGTAGCTGGGATTACAGGCGCCCACCACCATGCCCAGCTAATTTTTGTATTTTAGTAGAGATGGGGTTTCACTATGTAGGTCGAGCTGGTCTCGAACTCCTGACCTCAAATGATCCACCTGCCTTGGCCTCCCAAAGTGCTGGGATTACAGGCGCAAGCCACCTCACCCAGCCGTTAGTTTTTTATTTAAAAACAGCCTAGTCAGCAATCATCTCTTTGCCTCTCACAGGCCCATTAGCTAACTCTCAGGTGACTTCTTGGCTAGAATCCTCAGTTAACACTAGGGCCAGAGGCAGTGATGACTCACTGGCAAACATCAGATGCTCAACAAGAAAATGTTCCCCAGAAACAACCTTCTGCTGCAGTGACTGGTGTGCTCTGAGTGGCATCCAGCTTCATAGCTCTCCTTTCCCTGCAGCTTGGTATTCATCAGCCATCTCCTCATTAAGATAAGCTGATACGGTAGTCAGCAATACAGAAGGAAATATAGTGAAATATCAGTAAGTAAAATGAAGAATACCTTGTTTTTAGCTAATTCCTTTTCCAAATTGCATCTTTCTTGCACTATTTCTTTTTCTGTTTTATTAACCTGCCCAAGGAGGATGGGAAAAAAAAGGAATAGGTCAATTTTATAGCAGCTGACAGGCTCCACTATAGCACACATATCCTGCATGTCAATTAATACCTACACTGCAGAGATAGCACATCCTCTCAGAAAAGGGGCCAATCAGGGAGTCTCTGAGGCAGAGCAGACTTCACAAATAGCCCTGAAATTAGAAAGACACGTCTGCATGTCAGACTCTGCTGGTTCCTTCCTAAGTAGGAAGACAGGGCTGTTCCCCCTTAACCTTCGCTGTCCCACTCCTTCAGGGGAAATCAATTTTTAAAATCTGACCCCTTAACTAACACCAGGATGTGTGAATTACTAGTTAACATTCACTAACGCCGGATAAGTATATACTGTTCTATTTGGCACAGACTACTTCACATGCTAAAAGGCATAGGTTAGCCACCTAAAGATTCTTTACTGGGCAACTCAGACAAACTGCATCTGGGTTTTATTTCTTTTCTTGTCTTTTGCATTTAGAATGCAATTTTAAAACATCATCACACCACAATGAGAAGATAATGTAAATTTGCTTCTACCTACCTCCCTCTGAAATCTTTCTTTCTCCTCTAGCAGAGACTTCTTCTCTTGCATTGATGCTTCCAATTCACCTCGCAATCTTGCAATAGTTGATTCTAGCAGCTCTTTTTGCACAGCTGTTCTCTTTTCAGCATCCTGTGCTTTCTGGATACACTGGTTATGCTCAAGGATTAAATGATCCCTGCAGGAAGAGATCAAGAACATATGAAAGCTAAATTAGAGTTCTAATTTAACAGAAAGAGCAATTAAATGTTCTTATAGAACATATTTCCTGACTGAGAGTAGTTACCAAAATGTTCTAACAAAACTAGTTTCTTGAGGGCAGAGTCTTTATTTTAGCTCTGTGGCTGGCCCAAAAAATGCAGAATCAAATGTTTTCATTGACGATAAGACTGAGACGGACACATGATAAGAAACACACATGCAAGAACAAAAGATGTATAAGAAGTTGCCCATAATTTACTTACAGATGTGCCTGGAGTTGGGTTTTCTCATTCTGAACAGTCTGTAGTTCATTTGTGATACTGGCATGGGCTGCATCCAGCAATAAGTTTTGTTCTTGAAATGTCTGCGTCATCATTTTCTGCTCTACCTGAGTGTTAAAAGCAATATTAGAAGTTGAAGCTCCACAAAGTCTTTTGATAGGGTGTCATTTGGAGTAACTGATCAAAAACACTGAACTAACTTAAAAAAACAAGTTTCATTTACATAAATAAAACCTCTTTTTAAAACAATTTATTTCAATGCCCAGTTTCTCTTTGTCCTCCTCTGAGTTGACTAGTTCTATCATTTTATAGCTCTACTAGCCAATAGTCAAGATGCATTATTTACCCAGCCTGCTGAAAAATTATAAAACTCCTAATACCAACAAATTTTTAAATATAGAAAATTATATTACAAGTAATTTTGGTATTTTAAAATTTCAATATGGTACTTTATTTTTAAAAGTAAAACAATATAAATGTATATAAAGTGAAAAGATCCTTTCCTCTCTATCTGCACTTCCCCTCCAAATAATCCCACATTCTAAGGATTATCATGTTTAACAGTTTGCTGTGAATTCTTTTAAGACTATCTTAAATTGCACTCAGATAATGTTACAGCAGAAGCACTATAACTGTTTTACATAGTTTATTTTCTTTGGCTCACCATTTTGGAATTATCAAAACATGACATTTTTATGTACCATATACCCCTACACATAATCCATAAAGTTTTTGCAAATACAGTACATATCAACAATTAGTTTTATAAATACTTTTTAAAAAACTTCTATTTTAACAATATTTGATTGCAAAGCAAGTCTTCACACTGGTAAAATGGGATCCCAATTGTTATATTCCAAAATTTTGAAATATTTGTAATAAATATTTCACTATATATTCAGTCCACTGAATTATAAGTCCATGAAAGTAGGAATTTTGTCTTGTTCACCACTATAATCCTATCTAGATATAGCATTATACTTGCACAGAGTTAAAAACTAAGTATTTATTGAGTATATGTTATGTGCAAAGCATGCTTAGCACTATGAGAAATAAAGATATATAAGGTAATGTCCTTGCCTCTAGAGAGCTCACAGTGTAATCCAGGAAATGAACCAGCACATAAATTACTACTAGAGAATGCAGAATAGGGATGCAGCATAATGATTATATACATTGACTCTGGAGTCACCCTAGGTTAAAACACAACTCTACCTCTTACTAGTTAGGTGAATTTGGGCAAGTGAACTTCTCTAACCCTCATTTTCTTATCTGTAAAATGAGGATAATAAATATCCTTTTACATAATGGCTGCTACAATTAAAGGAGGTAATATGTGTAAAATCCTTAGCACAATGCTTAGTATATATAGTAAGTATGCTTACAAAAAGAGAAAGTGATCTATTACTATGGTGGTCTGTTTAGTGTCCCAGGAATAGAAGTTGAAAGGGAAAACTTATCCCTTCCTGTTGGGATGATCAAGCTGCCTGATGAAAGTGACTCTTAAAGAATAAACAGAATTTCAGATATTGAAGATGAAGTAAAAAGCATTCTCAGCAGAGAAAATGGCATAAGCAAAAGGAGAAATCGGCAAGGTGTTTGAGGAAAAGGTTAAGTACTTTAAGGTTAGTCATACGTGTTCTCCATGATTCTATAAACAATGGGACAAATAATTATTTTTCCTCAAGTGATGATATTTGAGAAGAAATCATGAAAAGCCCTGAGTGTAAGGCCAAATCACCCCTCTGATGAAAATTGAAAAGCACTAATAGAATTAAGATAATTCAGTAGATTTTTTGAAATTTATTGTTAAAATATTTTATTTCTCCAGTTGGCCATAAACATTTCCTGATCTATCAACCAGGCTGGCTTTCTGGTTGGCTTTCATGTTAAACGAATACCTGCAGAATGGCCTGATGGTCAGCAATGATTCTGGCTTTTTCCATAGTAACAGTCTGAAGCATGCAGCTCAACTCTGAACACTTTTTAGTCAATTGGTCATTCAAAACCTAAGAAAACACACACAGCAAGTCATTGGTCTCTCCAATAAAGAATTATTTTTACTTATGTATTATTATTTTTAATGATTGCATAGTATCTCACTGTATATATGAAACTAATCTATTTAACCTATCCTCAATTCACATGTCATTAGTTTAAAAAATACTTCCAAATATTAAAAGTCTACACCATAAATAATTCTAAATTAAGAGATTTGTTGATTTGGTAGAGCAACTGAAGCATATGGCATTTTACTGATCTTCTGTTCTTCACAAATTTGAACACTGGTTCATTAGAGCAAGACATCTGCAAAATGGAATTTACAATGTCAGTACCTAGCCAATATTATAGAAATCCATGAGCATTCAGAATTATTTAGCTGGTAACACAAAATACCTAAGCTCCTTCACCACCAGCTGACAATATTCATAAAAGCAAAATATAGATGATTTTACCATCACGAGATTAATCTTTCAAAATAAAACAAAAATTGTTTGAGCTACACAGATATATCATATATGTAGGTAGTTAATAATTCTCTTTTCATAATTTGAAATTTGTATTATTGAGAGAAACATTTATCTCAATTATCAGTTATTTTTGCAAGGTAGATTTGGCAAAGATCTTATGTTTTAAACAAGTTCTTCAAGAACAAGCAACTTTGAAAGAGCACTAGGAAGAAAACACACAAAAAATAAAATGGAGTAAAAGAAAAGATAAATAAAAGATTATCTGGCAAACATCACAAGTGGTATGGGCAGGCAGTACAGTAGTTAGAAACAAATTCAGGGGCTTAAAGTCACACCAGATGCAGATGTACAAGCTATTCATCAAAGAATACCTGGGGACGAAACAGAGAACCCTTGCTCCTTGAAAAGAAATAGCTACTTTTCTTTGGAGCCAGGTTACCTGAGTTCAAATTCCAACTCTGCCACCTATTATCTATGTTCCTGAACTTCTCTGTACATCAGCTTCCTTATCTTTAAAATGTGAATAAGTTTCCATTTCATAGGGCTATTGTGAGGATTACAATTTGTTACTAATATAAGGTGCCTGGAATTGTGCCTGGAATGTAGAAGGGGCTCAGTAAAAATGTTACCTACTATTAGTATAGAAAGAGTAATAGTAGTTGATGTTATTATATTTAAAAACACATTCATTTTATACTTCATTATTTTTATTATACACAGAGCCCAGCAACACTATGATCCTAATATTGAGACAATCAAATTGTACCAAGAGAAAAGTTATTTTAAATGATAAACACTTCTTTTGGCTCTGTGATAAGTAACTCCAATTTGACTGCATATCTGGTGACTTTTTGTTGCAGATGCACATATATATAAAACATCAGCTAAATTTGGGAATCACCATCCCAGAAATGATTACATCTAACTTCAAAATCCAGCAAGCATTTGTTAGGTTCCTACTGTATAATTATTTACTATAGAAGATACAAAGAAAGTATAAGACATAGCCCTTGCCATGGAATTATTCAGAAGTTCACTTTGGAGGGGGAAATACATATATTTAATGAGCAAATTAGAAAGCAAGCAAAGGCAAAGTGTAAACTAGTGCATAATTATAGTGGTACATCTTGTATACTTATATATCATAGGAATTTGGAGAGCGAAATGAGAAACGTAGTTAATTTGATAATGTTTCAAAGATGAAATAAATCTTATGGAAATGAAAAGTTGGGTGATGGAGATGGTATGAATTTATATAATCAAGACTAATTTTGTTTCTTGGTTATTTAATTGAACAAAATTAAATAACATCTAAAAACTAACAAAATCATGAGCATTTACTTGTGCTTTTTCTGATGCTTCATGAAGAGACATTATTTCGGACCTCAAATATGCATTTTCTTCATGTTCCTTGTTGAAAGATATCTGCAGGTTCTATAAGAAAAAAAATTACTCTCTTTTTCACATATAAGAGATACTATGTGCACCCCTATAAAAATAACTGTTTTGTATTTCGGCCAGTACAAGTTCAAGTTCCAATGACATACACTGGAACTTTATAAATGTCTTATAAAGAATGTATAAAAATCTTGGTATCTTCAACTCCTAAACTTCTGTTTATTTCAAAACTATTTATCAAAACTGTTTATTTAAAACAATAATGAGATACCACTACACACCTATTACAATGGCCAAAATCTAGAACACTGACAACACCAACTGGTGTCAAGGATGTGGAGCAACAGGGACTCTCATTCACTGCTGGTGGGAATGTAAAATGGTACAGCTACTTTGGAAGACAGTTTGGTGATTTCTTACAAAACTAAACATATTCTTACCATATGATCCAGTAATCATGCTCCTTGGGATTTACCCAAAGGAGCTGAATACCTATGCCCAGACAAAAAACCTGCACACAGATACTTATAGCAGCTTTAATCATAATTGCCAAAGGTTGGAGCAATCAAGATGTCCATGAGTAAGTTAATGGATAACTTGTGGTATATCCAGACAAAGGAATATTATTCAGCACTAAAAATAAATGAGCTTTCAGCCAGGCACGATGGCTCATCCCTGTAATCCCAGCACTTTGGGAGGCTGAGGCAGGCAGATCACCTGAGGTCAGGAGTTTGAGACCAGCTGGCTAACATGCTGAAACCCCATCTCTACTAAAAAATACAAAAATTAGCCAGGCGTGGTGGAGGGCACTTGTAATCCCAACTACTCGGGAGGCTGAGACAGGAGAATCGCTTGAACCCAGGAGGTGGAGGTTGCAGTGAGCTGATAGTGCCAATGCACTCCAGCCTGAGTGACAGAGTGAGACTCCGTCTCAAAAAAAAAAAAAAAAAAAAGAGAGAGAAAAGAAAGAAAAATGTGCTATCAAGCCATGAAAAGACATGGAGGAAACATAAATACTTATTACTAAGTGAAAGAAGCCAGTCTGAAAGGCTATAGACTATATGATTCCAACTATATGGCATTCTGGAAAAGGCAAATCTATGGAGACAGTAAAAAGATCAATGATTGCCAGGGATTAGAAGGGGAGGGAGGGATGAATAGGCAAAGCACAGAAGATTTTTAGAGCAATGAAACTACTCTGAATGATACTATAAAACATATCTACTATAATGGTAGATATATGTCATTATACATTTCTTTAAATCCATAGAATGCACAACACCAAGAGTGAACCCTAATGTAAACTATGGACTCTGGGTGATAATGTGTCAATATAGGTTCATCAACTGTAATATGGTACCACTCTGGTGGGGGATGTAAAATGGTGCATCCATTTTTTAAATGGACATCCATCAAACGGCTAATGAGGAAGGCTATGCATGAATAGGGGCAGAAGGTATTTGGGAAATCTCTTTATCTTCTGTTCAATTTTGTTGTGAACTTAAAACTGCTCTTAAAAATAAAGCCTATTTTTTGAAAACTGTTTATTAAATCCATTCTTATATTGAGATTCCAGTTAGAATTTGCCTAAAACCATAGCCTAAATATACCTAGTATCTTTATATCACAGTTCTACTCCCTAAGATTAAATATTTGTTATATTATTATACATACACATTTTTTCCTATTAGCAGTAAGATCTTATGACTTCAAAGGAACACATTCAAGGATCTTTTAAAGTTATAAGTGAAGATATTTTCAAAAACAAGGACCTGAGAGTGGAGCAGAAGAAAACACCTTTGTTCTGTGGTTATAGAAAAAAAAAAAAAAAGCTAGTTTTCTTTGAGATGAGAGAAGTGATACAGATGTGCATTGTAGGTGGGGCTTTCCCTAAAAGGTACTTAGCAGAATGGGGAAGGACAAAGTATAAATCTTCTTCCTACAGAGGAAGAACTACCCTTCTATTTTCCCAGGAGAAGCATCTCAAGAAAAACAGACAACATATAACACAGGATGAGATAGCATCCAAAAGAAGTAGAATCGACACATCAACAGACTTACAAATGTAGTAAGATATAAAATCATTATGTTTTTAATTTTAAAAATTATGGCAAAATATACATGACAAAATTTATCATTCAAATCACTGTAAGTGTGTAGTGTCATTAAACACATTCATACTGTTGTGCAACCACCAACACCAAAAAGTAGTTATATTTCTTACATTTCATTAAGTTTATTTTATAACAATTAGTTTACAATAGGCAAAAAACACAAATAAGTCTTATTTTTGCCAAATTACATTTTTCAAACTCTAATAACCTTCATGAAATGATTTCTTAGTTCCTAATACTATTATCCTAAATATACTACTCATTTACATGAAACTTTTTAAATAAAACTTTGATGAGAGTAAGAAGCACTGTAAGCCAACATGGAAGAGGAAATAGGACTTAGTGAAGAGAGGAAAGACCACCTCTGTACTCCACAACTTCAAAACTCACCTTATTTTCTTCAACCAACTTGGAAATGAGGTCATCTCTAGAAGCTAAAAACAAAAATTCCACATAACTATGATAATAGTAACTTGCTACATTAAAATCACATAGTGAGAAGCTTTAAATATTTTATGTCTATTTTTTGTAGAGATAAGGAGAACCCAACTATTTCTATAATATTTTTATAGACTAGAAACTGTTATGGAATTACCAAGAAACTAGTCCACAGTCATTTGCAATGGTAAATGAGGTCTCTGAAGGATTTTAAGCTGAGGAGGGGCATGATCAAAAGATTTTTGTTAGAAAGATCACTGTAACAAAGGTACAATAAAGGCAAGGAGATGAATTTAGTAGCTGTTAAAGTAACTGACATATGAGTAAATGACAATTCAATAAAGTAATGACGATGAGGACCGACTCTGGTCATGACAACAGAGACACAGAGGAAAAACAGATCTGTGAAACAGTAAACAGAGAGCACTTTTGGACTTGATGGCTTACTGGTGGGGTAAAACAACAGATGAGACAAGGAGAACATCTGGCATTCAGACTTGGGCAGCAGGGTAAACAGTGGACTCTTCAGCTAAATAGGGAATACACAGCATGGAGCAGGTTTCGGGGATAGAATGAGTGAAACACAAGTTTTCTATGTGTTTTGACATATCTGCAAGGCATCCAAATGTAGATATTTAGTTGGCAGTAAGATACTGGTCTAGAACTCAGGAGGATGATTTTGTACAGAAAAAAAGATTTGAAACCACTCAGAGCATGTACAGTGAAAAGAAAACCAAAGACAGAAAATTGTGGAACAGTTTGGTATTATATACTAGTAGCCAAAAAGTGTAAACTTATCTGAGAGTAATGTTTTGCCTTCACAGAAAAATTCATATCAGTCTTGTTTCACTTAAATATTCTAAAGCCAGAAATCATAAAACACATAAAAACTGATATTTTATATAGGATATACCTTAGAAAAACTGTACTTTTTGAACACATGAATCCACAATTCATCAGAATAAACTCGAATTTAAAATACATGAAGGGTAAAAAAGATGAACTATATGACTTCGGGAAAATTCTACTAACCAAAGTTAAGAATGAAAGGGGAGTGTTTATCTTACTTTGAAGAACAATTTATTCATCTTAAGTACTATAAATCTGTATATAAATGCTTATTGTTGATAAACAATTACATGTTTTAATTCATTGAAGCAAATATTTAAAGGCATTCCTTTTATTAATGTAGCTCAAACAACTACTTGTACCTTAAAGTAATAAAATTGCATATATGTCAAGTCTATAATTCAATATTATGCACCTAGCTGGCATTCAGACAGGCTTCCTTTTCCTCATGTCAGTTTGAATTATTGTTGTTTTAATCTTCATTTTTTAATGGTGTTGCACAAACTCTTTACAAAATTCAAAAATAAAGCATTAATCCAACAAGAAAGTAACATAAAAATTCAGAGGGCCAACTAATATAATAGATACCTGTTTTAGGCCCAGCTATTCTACTTGCTGTGGGTCTTTGGGTACAGTCAGTGTGGATCCTTTTATATCTTCTTTTTTTTTTTTTTTTTTTTTTTTAGATGGAGTTTTGCTCTGTCGCCCAGGCTGGAGTGCAATGGCACGATCTCGGCTCACTGCAACCTCAGCCTCCTGGGTTCAAGCGATTCTCTGTTTCAGCCTCCCAAGTAGCTGGGACTACAGGCGCGTGCCACCACACTTGGCTAATTTTTTGTATTTTCAGTAGAGATGGGGTTTCACCGTGTTAGCCAGGATGGTCTCAATCTCCTGACCTCATGATCCGCCTGCCTGGGCCTCCCCAAGTGCTGGGATTACAGGCTGAGCCACCACGCTCAACCCCTTTTGTATCTTCTATAGAATGTGTGTATTTTCTTATCTTTCTGACAGGTTGTTGCAGTGCTCAAATGAGACAATGTGGCAGCACCATAAAATATACATGTATTTTTGTAGGCACACAATTACAGAAAGACAGAAAATTATCCAGGGGCATTGTCGGTGAGAACTTCACACAGTAATTCACTACTATAAGAAAAGGGAATACTTTCTGCTAAAAGCAGTAAGTCAAAACATTGAATAGATTACTCTTGCTCTATATTTTTTATAATTTCCATTTCCTTTTTGGTATTCTCTGCCCCCATTACAGCAGCCATAGAGCACAGAAGGTGAACTGGAGAGTACACTCGGCTTGGAGTTAGAAGATCCAGGTCTAGGTCTTACTTTGCCATTTTTTCCTTTTGTAACTCTGGAAGGATAGCTTTGAGTACTGAATGAAATAGTTTATGTGAAAGTTCAGTGTAAACCATGATGTATTAATCACATGAAGCACTGCCCTGTAACTCTGTGACCTCTGTCATTGAGACTACCTGGAAACTGCTTTATAATGAAGTACTAGCAACAGTAGTATGATAAAAGGCTGATGGGTTAGAAGAAATATGACCGAACACCTTGGGATCAAGTCTAGGCTCCTTCCTTTCCTAGCTCTGTCATCTTTGAGGACTCATCTATAAAAAGAGGAGATTAATCTAAGCTCTCTTAAAGGTACCTTACAACTATCCATCTCTACAAATATAGGTTAACCAAAATAGATTGATAACATGAAGAATGGAGAATCTGACATGATGAACTGACAGAATCCATAAGTCATCAAGGATTCATGGCCTTACTACCTTACTAATATTCTATTATCAAATATTCAATCTATTGTTTTACTTTTTTTGCCCAATATTCAAGCCAGATGTCTAGAAACCAAATATTCCCAGGTCCACAAACAAGCTGGAAAAAAACAAATAAGGAATAGTTTACAATTAACAGGGTCAAATATATTATTAACAACAATCCTTCTGTATCTCAGTACTGCAGGTAGAAGGGAAATCTGCAATGTTTTACATACAGCACTGTGGGAAATACCAATAACACTGGCCACTTTAAGAATTTGGGATCTTAAGAGTTTTTCCATGAAATCTCCAAAAACTAACAAGAGGGTGATTTCTAGCATCTATTTTCATACTTAGATCAGATTTGAGCTGTGAAGTAGCAATCTCCAACTCTTCTTTTTTTTTTTGTTCCTGGGCCAGTAGTTCTTGAGCGCTCTGTATAGAATCACGTAGAGCAATGCAGTTTTGCTGCAAAATGTGCACCTGAAATTGTATAAGAAAAACTCTTTTTCTGTGAGATAAAGATTTCAAATAAGCTGCCTTATAGCACATGTATAAGGCAACATTCCAACCTTAATGTCACTGAGAAGCAACAAGAAGTTAGTCTATGTTACAGTTAAAATCTCAACAGAATGCGGTCTTGGAGCAGTGCCATCCAATAGAACCTTCTGTGCACTCTCCAATGCAATAATCCACTAGCCACAAGTGGCTACTGAGCACTTGAATATGGCTAGTGTGAAAAAATAAATCTTTTATTTAACTAATTTGAATAGCCATATGTGGCTAATGGCTACCATATTGGCATTGCAAGTTACAGCAACAAAGGATCATTTGCAATTCCTAAAGTAGAATCCTTGTTATAATTCAGTTATGAAGGGAAACTTTTTCCATTGGTTAAAATAATAAAGATTATGTCATCCAATTATATTAAAATATGAAAATATGAACTGACTTGGTTAGAATTTAAAGTATTCTAAATTATTTGTAGGTACTTCAAATAACAAATATGAAGGCAAAATATCATGTTAAAATAAATAATGATAATTGAAAACAGCAGTGTAAATATAGTCCTGATTGTTTTACTTATTGATATGCTTCCAGTGTTAGATCGCTTTAGACTTTATTTTCTATCCATGTCAGACATATACAGCATGAGACCAGGGCAATGCCTTCCAAAATCAATGTCTATAACAGAGATTGTATGGTATAAGGGAAAAATACTTTATCTTTCTCTTAGGAGCTAAGAGTTCACCTCTATAAAGCCTGAGGTAAATTAACCTCTCTAGTCCTTAGCTCTCTGATTCATAAATTAAGAGTGTTGAATAATGACATTAGGGTCTTTCTTATTTTGCACTAACTTAAAAAAAACTGTAGTAAGATTGTTAACATATTGCTAACAAAAAGTAAATATTTTAATAAATCTAGAGGCAATTAGTAAAATTTTAAGTTTATAGGTAAAATATCAGTTTTTGTTTGGTTTCATTTCCCAAACCACATAAGGAGAAGAAATCTTTCTACCTGTTTTCGTTCTACCTCCACTGTTGATCCCATTTCTTGTATTTTGAGGAGCATGGCTGATGCTGATTTCTCTAAAGATTCCCTAAGGTACTTCTCCTGAGCCAGTTGTCTCCTTAGCTACAAAGCAACACTGCAGTTAGGCAAGACCAATTGATCATACTAGTTTAACAAAGATCAAAGTTACCTGAGAAGTTTATCAGACATGCCATCTCACCCCCAAACAGTCTTAATTCATTTATGACTACTCAGAAACAAGCTTTTGTTTCTCCCTAGATTGCCTAGGATTACCTCCTAAGGAATGTAGATCAAACTTATTGCACCCATCCTCCTATAATTTAGGTCTGTTTTCTAAACTGGAGGTCAAAATCCATTAGTAAATTGAAAGAAGCACTCAGAAAAAGGAAAAAATAAAAGAGTAGAAAGAAAATATCAGAGTGCATGCAAGTAGTAAGGGTAAGTGCTGCTTTGGGAAATGTTTGTGTATATGTATGTGTGTTGCAGTGTAAAATATATGTCCAACAATGGATTGTCAAAAAAAGTTTGAAAAACACTAGTATCTTACCTTAGTGTGTATTTTCTGTATTTCTATATTTTCTGACTTTATTTTCAACTCTTATTTTCCTGTATTTTGATTTATCTACATATTTTTTATCCTGCAGTATTATACACATCGCTCTGAAAACTGTTTTCATTCTATTCTGGAATTTAGAGGTCTAAACAAATAATGAAGTAACCATTAAGTAGCAGACCAAACCGACACTCAAAGAATTTGGGTACTGTGCTATTGTGATATAATAAGAAATATATATTTCATTTCTGACCCTCGTTCCTGGCACACAGCTCATAAAAAACTTGGAATCACCTCATAAGAGTGTCTTTTGTGTGCTAATGACTGATTGGCTGGGGGGTGGGGGAAGGTAGGTAGCTGTGGATGGGGGCTGGTCCCCAGAAAGATCAAGGCATGACTAGAGGACTGGGACTTCTAGCCCCTCCTCTCAACCTCTAACGAGGGGAGAAGGGCTGAAAGGTAAGTTGATCATCAATGGCCAATGATTTAATCAATCATGCCTATGTAATGAGGCCGCCATAAAAATTCAAAAGAACTGGGTTCAGAGTGCTTCTGGACAGCTGAACACATGGAGGTGCTTGGAAGGTGGTTAGCCCCAGAAAGGGCCTGCGTCCCTTCCCACATGCCTTGCTCTATGCATCGCTTCCATCTGGCTGCTCAACTGTATCTTTTGTAATATCCTCTATAACAAATGGGTAAATGCAAGTGAAGCGTTTCTCTGAATTCTCTGAGCTGTTCCAGCAAATTATTTCAACTTGCAGAGGGGCATCATGGGAACATCGATTTTTTGCAAGTCAGTCAGAAGGACAACTTGGGGCTTGCAATTGGCATCTAAAGTGGGGGGCAATCTTGTGAGACTGAGTCCTCACCTGTCTTCAGGTAGATAGTGTCAGTGTCAGGACTGAATTGAATTACAGGACACTCAACTGGTGTCCACTGAAGAACAGAATTTCTTGGTGTGTCTTCAGGTGTCAGAAGTGTTCTGCTGCGAGGTATGTGAGAGTAGAAAAACACACTTTTTTTTTTTCTTCCCTGTTTTGGAGGCACACTGACCTTATTTCTGTCAATAAGTGACTATAAAAAGAATCACATAAAATATAAAGAAGGTTAAGAGTCTCTTTTATTATTAGGTAAAGAGATCCTTTCCATTAATAAGAGTCTCTTTTATTATTAGGTAAAGAGATCCTTTCCAATTGAAATGGGAATTGCAGAGAATGCTATTCCTTTTAAGAAGTGATGTGAAACTGAAAGAAATCCTATTTTAAAACCCCAGCGTAGATGACATTAAGAGTATACTATACCTGTTTTCTAAATTGTACACATTTTTTTCTCTATGGATAATATATTTTATAATTTTTAAAACATTTTTTAAAGGTTAAAAGAGGTAAAAAATGTGTTGGGATATGACTGTTACAAGATTGCTCATTTTGGAAATGCATAACTTTTTAAATCATATCCTTGATCTTTGACATGAGGGTTTTTCCAATTTTTCACTACTGTAAATACTGCTCTCCTGAACATACTTGTGAGTAGATCTTTCCTTACATTTCTGATTATTTCATTAAGATAAATTCCTATAAGATTCTTTTTTCAATTATTACCTTCATAATTTTCCAATTATTACCTTCTTATCAATAGTATTTGAATAAATCTCATCAGTACTATGTATTAAAATTTTCTTAAATCTCTTCTGATCCAATAAATGAAAACTAACATCTTAATAATTTTGGATTTCTTTGGTTACTGTGAGATTAAATATCTTCTAATATAGTTATCAACTCTTTATATATATTTATGTAATAAACTGTCATACTTATCTTTTGTCCATTGTTTTTTGGGCACTTTTAGACAATTTTACTGTTTTTGTTTTTGTTTTTGAGACTGGGTCTCACTGTGTCAGCCAGGCTGAGTGCAATGGTGCAACCATGGCTCACTGCAGTCTTGACCTCCCCCAACTCAAGTGATCCTCCCGCCTCAGCCTCCTGAGTACCTGGTACTAAAGGAGTGTGCCACCATGCCCAGCTAATTTAAAAAATTTGTTGTTGAGCCAGGGTCTCACTTTGTTACCAAGGCTGGTCTCAAACTCCTGGGCTCAGGCAATCCTCCTGCCTCAGCCTCCTAAAGTGCTGAGATTACAGGTATGAGCCACCATGCCTGGCAGTTTTAAGTTTTTGTGGGTGGGTTTTGGAGACAGGATCTCACTCTGTGGCCCAGGCTGGAGTGCAGTGGCATGATCGCTGCAGCCTCGACCTCCCAGGCTCAAGTGATCCTCCCACCTCAGCCTCCTAAGTAGCTGGGACCACAGGTGTACACCACTGTGCCTGGCTTTTTTTCTTTTTTCTTTTTTTTTCCAGAAATGGGGTTTTGCCATGTTGCCCAGGCTGTTAAATTCTTTAAAAGGGAAAACTATTAACACTTTGCCTATTTGTGTTATAATACCTTATTACAGGGGTCGCCAACCCCTGGGGCCACAGACTGGTACTACTCCATGGCTTGTTAGGAACCAGGCCACCCAGCAGCAGGTGGGCAGTGGGTGTACCAGCTCTACCACCTGGGCTCCGCCTCCTGTCAGATTAGTGGCAGCATTAGATTCTCATAGGACTGTGAACCCTATTGTGAACTGTGCATGCAAGGGATCTAGGTTGCACGCTTCTTATGAGAATCTAACTAATGCCTGATGATTTGAGGTGGAACAGTTTCATCCCAAAACCATTCCCCTCAACCCCCACAACCCCATGGAAAAACTGTCTTCCAAGAAACTGGTCCCTAGTGCCAAAAAGGTTAGGGACTGCTGCTTTATTAGTTTTGCTTTTTATATATAGAAGTATTCTTATGTGGTCAAATCTATTGACCATTTTATAATTTTATTCTTTTTAAGCTTAGAAATTGCTTACTTATCCAATGATAAGTTAAATATTACAATCTTATGTAAGAATGAGCCATTTTATTTGTGGTTATATTTTTTCAGATTTTAGTATCAGATTATAATTACTTTATCATATAGAGTAGCTTAATATACTTTCCTAAACTTTATATCAAATTAGGTACTATAATTTGTTCAAGATATAATTTATTCCTTGAAAGTTTCAAAATACCCAGGACATCAACTCATTTAAATTTTAGTTGCATTACTGTCAAATGTGATTCAATCTCTAGTTCATTCAGAATTAAATATTTCACTCTTTTAAATTGTTTTAATCACCCCCATTATGTAGGCTTGAAAGCATTCAGCTGGCCACCTTTTTAAAGAACGGCCACTTTTAAAAAGAGACATTTTCCTCTTTTATACGTGATATACCTACAATGTGCCGTACAAAAGTACATTACAAAGAGAATCATTTACTAATGAAGTATTTGTTTCTGAAGTACTATTAAGGGCAATAAGTTAATCTATTTAATGTTTATCACATCCAGATTTTGTATCTATTTTATATATATTTATTATCTCTTAGGAAGATAAATACCACACTTCTCCTATCTGTATATAACCCTCTGTCATAGGCTGAATTGTGTCTTCCAAAATTCTTATGTTGAAGCCCAACATCTGCTACCTCACAATGAGACTCTATTTGGAGACAGGGCCTTTCAACAGGTGATTAAATTAAAATGAAGCCATTGGGGTGGACCCTAATGCAATCTGACCATATCCTGATTAGAAGAGATTTGGACACACAGAGACACCAGGGATGGGTACACACAAATAAAAGAGCATGTGAGGACCCAGTTAGAAGGCGGACACCTGCAAGCCAAGGAGAAAGGCCTCAGAAGAAACCAAATCTGCTAACAACTTGATCTTGGACTTCAAGCCTCCAGAACTTCAACAAATAAATTTCTGTTTATACCACCAAGTCTTTAGGATTTTGTTATGGCAGCCCAGCAAACTAATACACCCTTTCTATTTCACATACCCTCAGAATGCCCATGTTTGACTAGCATAGTACTTCTGCAAGTCTTTGACAGAGCTTAATCAAAATTCAAGACTTTATCATAGAACCAAGAATTAAGAATAAGACTTCCCCAGTAAAAAATAATGTTAAATGGCAATCCAAAGGAGAAAGGATTGTCTTTTCAACAAATGGTGCTGGAAACACTGGACATCCACATGCCAAGAAGAAATTCATCTGGATACAGATCTCATACCTTTCATGAAAATTAGCTCAAAATAGATCAAAGACCTAAATGTAAAATGAAAACCTATAAAATCTCTTAGAAGATGATACAAGAGAAAATCTTAGTGACTTGGGTTTGTCGACTTTTTAGATACAATTCTAACAGTACAATCCATGAAAGAAAAAAATTGATATATTGGACTTCATTAAAAGTTCCTTCTCTGTGAAAGACAGCTAAGAGCATAAAAAGATAAGCTATAGAGCAGGGGAAAATAATTGCATAACACATCTTTGATAAAGGACTGGTATCCAAAATATACAAAGAAGTCTTAAAACATAACAATAAGAAATAACCCAGTTACAAAATGGGGTAAAAGTCTAACAGATAACTCACCAAAGGAGATATACAGATGGCAAATAAACACATGAGAAGATTCTCAGTGTCATTATATCATTAGGGATTGCAAATCAAAACAGGATGCCACTACATACCCATTGGAATGGCAAAAATTCAAAACACTGACAAGACCAAATGCCGGTGAGGATATGCAGCAACCATAACTCTTATTCCTTGCTGATGGGCATGCAAACGATACAGTCATTCTGCAAGACAGGTTGGCAGCTTCATACAAAGCTAAACATAGGCTTACCAGATGAACCAGCAATTGCACTCCTAGGTATTACATTTACCCAAATGAGTTGGAAACGTATGTCTATGTAAGAACCTGCACACAATGTTTATAGCAGCTTTATTCATAATTGCCAAAAATTGGAAGCAACCAATATGTCCTTCAATAGGTGAATGGATAAACAAATTGTGGTACATACAATAGAATATTGTTCAGCTATATAAAGAAATGAGTTACTGAGCCATGAAAAAACATGAAGGAACTTTAAGCGCATATGCATAAAAGAAGCCAGTACAAAAAAGACTACATACATACTCTATGATTCCAACAATAACAGGACTAGAGAGACAATAAAAAGATCAGTGGTTGTCAGGGGCTCAGGGGAAGACATGAGGAAGGATGGGTAGGTGGAACACAGGGCATTTTTAGGGCAGGGCAACTATTCTGTGTGATCCTGTAATGATAAATACATGGCATTATGCATTTGTCAAACCCATAGCACTTTACAGCATGATGAATAGTGAATCTTAACATATTTCACTAAATGATGGCTCAATATTGGCTCATCAAATGTTACAAAAGTATCATACTAATGCAAGATATTAATAATAGTGAAACTGCAGGAGTGGAGAGAGGGGTATACAGGACTCTGTGTTTTCTGCATAATTTTTCTGTAAACCTAAAACTGCCCTAAAAATAGTCTAGTACAATATCTTAGAAATAAACTGAATACATTCTAACTATGAGCATCAAGCTTTTATCAGTAATTACTGGCAAATAAAGTACTCAGTATAAGACAATTTTCCAAATACCTATGCTTACCACCTAAGCACTAAAATTTATAACCTTAAAAATAGTTTTGCATAAGAATTTTCCTAAAAAGTATGTCTACTTCTCTATTTTGTATTAACAGAATCTTTTAAATATAATTTGACCCATTAGATTTGAACTAACATCAATTATTAATACTATTATGTCAGGGAATATTGAGGTTTCAGGCCACTGCCAGAGTATATTGAGTTAGTAATTCTACTGATTCTTCCACTGTTTTCAGTTGCAAATTTTTAGTCCAACAGCTTTTAGCAGCCACCTACTTCATATTTCCCAATCTGCTATCTACTAAAACAAGCTGAAATGAAAGTTTAAGGTAAAATTAGATGAACAGACTTATTAATAGCTTTTTATTTTAAATACAACTTTAGATTAAAAGGACTTTGCAAGAAAGTGTCCACTTAACTATGGTGTACGGGCAGCCACGAGTGGTAACTATTCCTTCCTGGTTCACAAAGCATTTATTTTTTATTTCTAGTTTTATGCCAGTATTGAGGTAAAAGGAAGTCTTAATGTCATGTAAGGGCAGGCACTTTCACTTGAATTCAATGTGGCATATTTTTAAAGTCTTCCTACTACATAGTCACATATTTTCTTCTTCAAAGGTTTCTTTTCATTCTCTCTGCTTTCTTGATTTCCCCTCTGCAATTCCAACACCTCCTCCACCCTCCATCTTTTTGTCTTACCTCTTGAATTTTAAGGTTCATTTTACGTTTTGTGGTCTTCAGTTCCTCTTCAATAATGGCTGCATTCTTCTAAAAGTAGAAGGAGAAAAGATTCTAAATAATCTGAAATGACAGGAAGAAATTGTCTATAGGTATATCAGATCAAATCAGGTTTTTTTCTGGCAACCTATAAATGCTATTTTTAATATGGTTATAAATACTCCTTGTTATAAGTCTGAAGTAATTATTACCAGGAGTTACTTAACAGGAAAGTTATTTTATTACTTTGATACATGATTTCTATAATTTCCTCTTTTATATCATAAACAGTGATTAATCGCACCCACCTCCTATATAAAATTCAATAATTAGAGGTCAATCTGGTAATTGACAGACATTTTACTTACACGGTATATTCTTAATTTTTTAAAGAACTCTATTTTTCCAGCTTCAAATATTATTCGTGCTTACAAGTTGAGGATGAAAAACACAGCTTTCCCTACTTATTCTCTTTCTTATTAAGATAAATGGCACCACAATCTCAGATGTAAAACCTCAGAGCCATCTTTGCCTTCTTTACTGCCTTTAGTCCCTCCCAGTACCATATTCGAGCATACCTTTTTTTTACAGAACATTCCTCTTTCCTTTCAAAATGCCACAACCCTAGATCAGACCTAATTTGGCTCATGCCTCAAATAATGCAATGGATTCCTAATTGGTTTCCCTGCCTCCAATTTCTCTCCCTATTTTCAATACCCTATAATACTGCTAAAGTTGTTTTCCCGTTTTCATTATGTCACTTCCATATCAAAAATCTCAATCGCTCCCCACAGGATCAACCCCAACTACTAATTATTTCTGATTTTCAGATACTCTATAATGTCATTGCTAGCTAATATCCAACTTATTTCCCACAAACAAATCCTCACTCTTGTAAGGCTAGTTTATATATTTCTCCTAGCTGTACCGAGTAGAAAGATCCAGGTTCAAACCCGGGTAACAACAAGACAACAGGTATGTCTGATCTTGGACAACTGATTTATCCCAGGGACCCAGTACTATCATTGTTAAAAAATGGGGATAATAATATCCTACTTCACAAGATTTTGCAAAGATTAAACAAAATAACACATTGAACATCCATTACATTGCCTAGACATGAAGGGAGAACAACATTGTTAGTTTCTTTTCCAAGTAGTCCTTATTCTTTGCTGCCTCTGCGTGTGCTCCTTGAAATGTCTTCACCCCTACACCTTGCTTCTAAAGGTCCTATCCCTTCCCTGAAGCCTGCCTAATCTATTCTAGATAGAGCATCCTCACCCTCTCAAACATGTCTGAACACAAAGCCCTTACTCGGCAATATTCACTTTTTGTCCTATCCTATTCTGTAACATTTCCTATACTCTTATTTTTTCCTTATTTAATTTCTCATGCTGTAGCTTGTTCTCCCAACTAGCATATGAGTTCCTGAAGAGCACAGGCTCTATCTCATACCTCTGGACCCACACCATCACTTGTATGGGGTAAGGGTTGTACAAATAATCAATCACAGATAGCACACAGTGGTTTAGGTTATCAGTGCAAATGTCATAGGCCAAGAATCCTCAAATCAACATGCCAAATGTCAAATGCCAAGAATCCTCATATCAACATCACCTATTTTTAAAAGTCGCGTCATAGGTCTGTTACCTCCTCCAGCTAACACATAACAGTGTGTTTATACTTCAGAACTCTTAGACTCAAACCTTTGTCTGCGAGGCAATCTTCAGAGTGGCAGTCAACCTTTGCACCTCATCTTGTGCCTTGTCTTCTTCCTCTTTTACAGCTCTCAGTTGCTGGCGCAAATTCATAACTTCGAGATGCAACAGCTTCAGGTCCTTAGAATGCTCTTCCTGTATTGCATTCAGTCGATCTTTCAGAAAAGCTACCAGACCGCACAGGAGGGGCATCAAGCAGCAGAAAGAAGGTCAGTAAAGAAAATCAAGCACCTATACAGGACCACATTTCTGATGATTCTTATCTCTATACCTGTTTTCTGAGGATTCAAATCCTTTTCAGTTTGCAGCCGAAAGATGTTCATCTTCAAGGACTGCATGAGGCTTTCAAGACGGCACATTCGATTTACCAGAAACTCACAGTTCTTCCATAAAATATCTGTTTTTCCTGCACAAATTGCTTCATTTTGGATAGGACTAATGACTTTCTGGCTGTCCAGGTCTTCTAAACAGTCTGGAGCTTCCAAATAGCCTCTGGACAAAGATCCCAATATAACAATATTATGCAATGCAATTTCTACTATGGTAATCCCAAAAACTGAGTCAATGTAACATTTCCAATAAGAATAATAATTGGAGAGTGACATCACCAACATGGCAGGCTTCTGACTCTCCCTCCACATAGGGACACACTAATCAATTCCCTCTGAGAATTGATTAATTGACACACAGATCAATTCCCTCTGAGAGAAAGTCAGAAACAAGTTGAGAGACTTTTCTGTATCCGGCAACTGAGAAAATATCCACATTGACTAGGTAGGAAAAGCTGAGGCACACTCAGGTCCAAACCCCACCCCAGGCACTGTGCCATCCAATTAAGAAGGTATCCCCAACACCTATCCTCTCCCTGAGGAGAGAAGGGTTTGGACCTCATATTTACCACCCTAACTCTAAGATTCCCCACAGTGTGGCTTTTAATTCACCTGCCTCTAGAAGCAGAAGGGATTAGAGGCATACACAAGTCTCCCCAGACCACAGAACAAAGAGGTGATTATATATGGGTGTGTAAGCACTTACAGAGGCTTCATACCCCAGGATCAGGGTAGAGAAGGGCCTACAACTCAAAGCTCCCAGTTTCTGCCTGGAAGGGGTTGCCAATGTACTCTGTCAACTGCTGCTGTTACCAGTTGAGCTTCATACAAGCCTGCATCAGGGAATTAACTGGGCTGACAAACATAACCTTTGGCAGCCTGAACGGGAGCTTGGCAGCCCCCAAGCCTATTCCCCTGGCTCACTCCATCAATAACTCCAGTCTACCAATTCCTCCTGGAAAAAGTTTTTCCATGCATCAAGCACCCCAACTTTTATAACTTCTACTTGAGGGACTGCATCTTAAACCTCCTAGCTCTAGGAATAGAAAGGATTAGGAATACAAGAGTCTCATATAAGAATCTCCCCAGATCACAATCCTAAGAGGTGGTTTTAAACAGGAGTGCAAGCAGTTCCAGGGACTACACCTCTTGGAAGCAGTGCAGAGAAAGTGCTGAAACACACAGTTCTATTTTTCACTAAAAAGGATTTCTTTGTACATTCTTCCAGTGAATACTCGATGGTCTGGCTTCTAACTAACTTGCATCAGGGAGTTAATGGGGCAGCCAAACAATACACCTCTGGCAGCCTAAATGAGAGCTTGGTACTTGCCAAGACTTCTCCCCTAGCTTGCCCCAGCGATAACTCCAAGTCTACAGAAGCTTCCTAAAAGTAGTTTGTCCACTTATCTAGTGACATAACTTCTACAGCTCTCATATAAGGACTACCTCCTTAGCCACCCAGCTCTGGGAGCTGATTTGGCTCTGCATTTCCAAGTCTCTCTAGACCACAGAAAACAAAGAGGTAGATATAAAACGGGCCCACTCCCAGTGGCCATACCCTCAGAGGATGTAGTCTGAATGACAGTAGTATAGGTATTTGCCACAGAGCTTCTCCCTGGCTTAGAGTAGAGAGAGATAAATGCCTGCCTTAGTGCAGATAAATAATGCCTGCTTTAGCGCAGTAAGGGATAAATACCTGCTCTCAGCTTCACCCTGAGGATAGAAGGAACTGGAACATGCATCTAACACCCTAATATTTTCAGCTGCATCTAGAGAGCGTGGCTACTGTCTTACTGCTCTCATGGTACTAACAAGACTTGGCACATCTTAACCTTCTGGGGCCACCAAAAACAGAGATATCAGATTGTACACAGAGATTTGAGAGATACATTATAATTTCTGGCTGTACGAATTGGTAAGATCTCCTACATGAGGGCCAGTTTGACAAGACTGGGAGAGGTTACTGTCTTAATGTACAGAAACCAACACGGCGAGTTAAAAGAAAAATGAAGAAATAGGAAAATATGTTCCAAATAAAAGAATAAGATAAATCTCAAGAAACTGATCCTACTGAAATGGAGATATATGGTTTTTCCAAGAGGGAATTCAAAATAATGGTCATAAAGATGCTCCCAAGGTCAGGAGAATAATGCAAGAACAAACAGAATTTCAACAAAAGAGAGTAAGAAAGTATAAAAAAGTACCTAAAAAATCATATAGCCAAAGAATACAATAAGAGAAATGAAAAAATTCAATAGAGGGGTTCAATGGCAGACTATATGAAGTGGAAGTGAATAAGTAAACCTGATGACAGGTAACTGAAAATCATCCAATGTGAGGAGCAGAAAGAAAAAAAAAATGAAAAGGAGTGAAGATAGCTTATGGAACTTATGAGATACCATCAACAGAACAATATGCCATCATCAAAATTGCAGAAAGAAAAGTGAAAGGAACAGAAAACATATTCAAAGAAATAATAATAATAAAAAAAAAACTTCCCAAGCCTGGGGAAGGACATAGAAATCCAGATCCAAGAAACCCAAAGGACAACAAATAAGATGAACTCAAGAGTTCCATAGTCCCATACTTAGACACTTACATAGTGTGGATGTTTGTTCCCTCCAAGTCTCATGTTGAAATGTGACACCCATTGTTGGAGGTAAGGCCTGGTGGGAGCTGTTTGGGTCATGGGGCAGCTCACTCATGAATGTCTTGGCAATGAGTGAGTTCTCACTTTTTGTTCACACAAGAGCTGGCTATCTAAAGGAGCCTGGCATCTCCTCCTCTTTCTCTCACTTCCTCTCTCACTTCTTCTTCTTCACCTGCTCCCCCTTTGCCTTCCACCAGGATTGTAAGCTTCCTGAGGCCCTCATCAGAAGGTAAACCGATGCTGGTGCCATGCTTTTTAGCCTGCAGAAAACTATGAGCCAAATATTTGTCTTTTCTTTATAAATTACCCAGCCTCAAGTATTCCCTTATAAGCAACACAAAATAAGCAACACAGAATGTTGGTAACAAAGAGTGAGGCATTGCTAAAAAGGTAATTGAAAATGTAAAAGCAGCTTTGGAACTGGGTAATGGGCAGAGATTGGAAGAGTTTGGAGGGCTCAGAAGAAAACAGGAAAACGAGGGAAAGTGGAACTTCTTAGAGACTTAAGTGCTTGTGATGAAAATGCTGACAGAAATATAGACAGAGGACATACTGATGAGGTCTTAGATGACAGAAATATAGACAGAGGACAGGCTGATGAGGTCTCAGATGAAAATGAGGAAGTTATTGGAAAATAAGAGTAAAGGTCACTCACGTGACACCCTAGCAAAGAACTTGGCTGCACTGTGTCCGTGCCCTTAAGGATCTGTGGAAATCTGGATTTAAGAGTGATGTCCTAGGGTATCCAGCAGAAGAAATCTGTAAGCAGTAAAATGTTCCAGAAGTGATGTAGCTGCTCTTAACAGTCTACAATAAGATATAGGAGCAAAGAAATGACTTAAGGTTGAAACGTATATTGAAAAGAGAAGTACAGTATAAAAATTTGGAAAATTTACAGCCTAGCCATGTGGTAGAGAATGAAAGAACATTTTCAGGAAAGGAATTCAAGTGGCCTGTGGAGCAACCATTTGCTAGAGAGATTAGCATGACTAAAAGGAAGCCAAATGCTAATAGCCAACGCAATGGGAAAAAGGCTCTGAAGGCATTTCAGAAATATTTGAAGCAGCCCCTCTTATCACAGGCCCAGAGGCCTAGGATGAAAGAATGGTTTTGGGGACTTGGTGTCACCACCCTGCACCACCTCAGGAATGCTCCCCACATCCTGGCTGCTTTAGCTCTCACCATGGCTCAAAGGGCCCCAGATACAGCTCAGGTCACTGCTTCAGAGGACATAGGCCATAAGCCTTTGTAGTTTCCATGTGGTGCTAAGCTTGCAGGCATGCAGAATGCAAGAATGAAGGAGGCCTGGCAGCTTCCACCTGGATTTCAGAGGATGCATGAGAAAGCCTGGGTACCCATGCAGAAGCTCTCTGCAAAGGCTCTCCTCCTGCAACAGGCTTCTGCTAGGGCAGCACTGAAGGGAAATGTGGGACTGGAGTCCCCACAAACAGTCCACCTGGAGGCACTGCTCAGGGGAGCTGTGGGAATGAACCCACTCTCCAGACCCCAGAAGGACACAGCCACTGGCAGCTTTCACCCTGAGCCTATAAAAGCCACAGGCACTCAACTCCAGCCCTTGAGAGCAGCCATGGAGGCTGCAACATGCAAAGCCAGAGGGACAGAGCTGTTCAAAGCCTTGGGGGCCCATCTGGCATACCAGTGTGCCCAGGATATGGGACAGAGAGTCAAAGATTGTTTTGGAGCTTTAAAGTGTGGGACCCATTGCTCCTTTCTTTTAGCCAATTTCTTCCTTTAGGAATGGGAATATTTACCCAATGTTTGTACCACATTGTATCTTGGAAGTAAATAACTTTCTTTTTGTCTTACAGGTTCACAGGTAGAAAGAACTTGCCTTGAGTCTCAGATGAGACTTTGGAATTGAGACTTGGGACTTCTGAATTAACGCTGGAATAAGCCTTTAGTGTACTATTGAGAAGTGATAATTATATTTTGCAGTGCGAGAAGAACAAGATTTGGGGTCCAAGGGTGGAATGATATAGTTTGGATGTTTGTCCCCTCCAAATTTCATGTTGAAATGTGATCTCCATTGTTGGAGGTAAGGCCTGGTGGGAGCTGTTAGGTCATAGGGGCAGATCCCTCATGAACGGCTTGGTGCCCTCCCCATGGTAATGAGTGAGTTCTCACTCTGTTAGTTCACACTGGTTGTTTAAAGGGGCCTGGTACCTCCTCCTCTCTCTTGCTCCCTCTCTCACCATGTGACTCACCTACTCCCCCTTTGCCTTCCACCATGATTGTAAGCGTCCTGAGGCCTCAACAGAAGTCGAGTAGTTGCTGGCACCATGTTTTTACAGCCTGCAGAACTATGAACCAAATATATCTCTTTTCTTTATAAATTACCCAGTCTCAAGTATTCCTTTATAGCAATGCACAATGGACTAACACAGACACATTATCATCAAATTGTCAAAAGTTAAAGACAAAGAGTTTTAAAAGCATCAAGGGAAAAGTAGCTTGTTACATAAAAGAGAACCCATACTAGACTATCGATGAAGTTTTCAACAGAAACCTAGTAGGCAAGAAGAAAGTAGAATATATAGTCAAAATCCCAAAAGAAAAATAAAACTGTCAACCAAGAATACTATCTCAGCAATGCTATCTTTCAAAAACAAAGAGGCAATGAAGACTTTCTCAGACAAACAAAAGGTGAAAGAGTTTATTGCCACTACTTTACAAGAAAAACTAAAGAAAGTTCTTCAAGCTGAAGGTAAAGGATACTAATTAATAAAAGAAAATATCAGAAAGCATAAAAATCACTAATAAAAGTACTGTCAAATTCAAATCACTCTAATGCTGTAATAGCAGGTTATTAATCAATTATATCTCTAGTATACAGGTTAAAAGACGAAACTAATAAAAACAACTATAGCTACAATAATTTGCTAAGGGATACACATTATAAAAACATGTAATTTATCACATTAAGAACATAAATAGTGGGAGCAGGGAGAGTAAAAGTGTGGAGTTCAGCCATGCAGTAAAAATTAAATTGTTATCACCTTAAAATAGCCTACTGTGTTTTTTGTAATCCTCAGAATAACCACACAGCAAAATGAGAACACATTGGATAACCTAGAAGAAATGGACAAATTCCTAGAAATATGTAACCTACCAAGACTGAATAATGAAGAAACTGAAAATCTGAATAGGCCAATAAAGAGTAAGAAGATTGAATCAGTAATAAACAAAAAGTTTCCTCCTATCAAATAAAAACCCAGTACCAGATGGCATCACTGTGAATTTCAACCAAACATTTAATGCAGAATACCCATTCTTTTCAAACTGTCAAAAATTGAAGAGGAGGGAATACATCAAATTCGTTTTACAAGGCCAGCATTACCCTGAAATTAAAGGCAGACAAACACACTAAAAGAAAAGAAAATTACAGTTCAATATTCCTGAACACAGATGCAAAAATTATCAATAAAAACACTAGCAGCTGGTATGGTGGCTCATGCCTGTAATCCCAGCACTTTGGGAGGCCGAGGCACGCAGATCACGAGGTCAGGAGTTTGAGATCAGCCTGACCAACATGGTGAAACCCTGTCTTTATTGAAAATACAAAAATTAGCCAGGCGTGGTGGCACTTGCCTGTAATCCCAGATCCTCAGGAGGCTGCGGCAGGAGAATCACTTGAACCCGGGAGGCAGAGGCTGCAGTGAGCCAAGATTACGCCACTGCACTCCAACCTGGGAGACAGAGCAAGACTCAGTCTCAAAAACAAACAAAACACTAGCAAACCATCTTCCACAGTACAGTAAAAGGATCATTCACCATGATCAAGTGAGATTCATCCTTGAGATGCAACAACAGTTCAACACGCACAAATCAATAAATGTGATCCACTGTATTAACAGAATGAAGGATAAAAATTATATAATCATCTCAATAGATGTAGAGAAAGCATTTAACAAAATTCAACAATGTTTCATAATAAAAACTCTCAACAAATCAGGTATAGAAGGAACGTACCTCAACATAATAAACGCCATATATGATAAGCCTACAGCTAACATCATGCTCAACGGTGAGAAGCTGAAAGCTTCTGATCAGGACTGAAATAAGGATGCCCACTCTCACCAATTCTATTCAATGTACTGTTGTAAGTCCTAGCCAAAGCAATTAGAAAAGAAAAAGAAATAAAAGAAATCCAAACAGGAAAGGAGGAAGTGAAATTGTCTCTTTTTGTTGAAGACATACAAAATCTCATGTACAGAAAACCCTAAAGACTCTACCAAAAAACGATTACAATAAATGAATTCAGTAAAGTTGCAGGATACAAAATCAACATACAAAAATCAGTAGCATTTCTATTCACTAACAATGAACTATCTGAAAAAGAAATTAAGAAAATAATCCCATTTACAATAGCACCAAAAAAGGACTCAGGAATAAGTTTAACCAAGGAGGTGAAAGATCTGTACAATAAAAACTCTAAAAGGCTGATGAAACAAATTGAGGATGACACAAATACAGTAATGAGTTATGTAATGACAGGGATACATTCTGAGATATGTGTTGTTAGGTGATTTTGTCACTGTACGAACATCATAGAGTATATTTACACAAACATAGATGGTATAGCCCTCTCCGTACCTAGGCTATATCTCCTGGGCTATAAACCGGTATACCATGTTACCATATTGCATACTGCGGGCAACTGTAAAACAATGGTATTTGTATATCTAAACATAGAAAAAGTGATGCCTTGCACTGCAACATTACCATAGCTATGACATCACCAGATGATAGGAATTTTTCAGCTCCATTACAATCTTATGGGACCACCACTAATATACACTCTGTCACTGACTGAAATGTCCTTATGTGCCACATGACTGTAAACTGAAAGATATCCCAGGTTTATGGATTAGAAGAATTAATACTGTTAAAATGTCTATACTACCCAAAGCCATCTACAGATTCAGGGCAATCCCTATTAAAATCCCAATGTCATTCTTCATAGAAATAGAAAAACCTGAAAATTCATATGGAACCACAAAAGACCCCCAAAATAGCCAAATCAATCTTGAGCAAAAATAACAAAGGTGGAGGCATTGCATTAGCTAATTTCAAATATATTACAAAGCTATAGTAATAAAGAGAGCATAGTAGCAGCACAAAAAGACACATTGTCCAATGAAATAGAATAGATAGCCCAGAAATAAACCCATGCATTTATGGTCAATTGATTTTCCACAAAGGTGCCAAGAATACACAATGGGGAAAGGACAGTCTCTTTAACCAAGTATTAGGAAAACTGACTATCCACATACAGAAGAATGAAATTGGGCCCTTATTTCACCCCATATACTAGAATCAACTCAGAATGGATTAAAGACAGATGTAAAACATAAGACCTGAAACTAAAACTACTAGAAGAAAACACGAGGGAAAACCTCTTTGACATTGGTCTCAGCAATGATTTCTTGGATATGACTCCCAAAGCACAGGCAACAAAAGCAAAAATAGACAAATAGAAATGCATCAAACTAAAAGTCTTCTGCACAGCAATCAAAACAATCAACAGAATGAAGAGACAACTCACAGACTGGCAAAAGATATTTGCAAATCATACATCTGATAAAGGACTAATATTCAAAATATACAAGAAACTCAAACTACTCAATAACAAGAAAACAACCTTATTTTTTAAACATGGACAAAAACCGGAATAGACATTCCTCAAATGAAGACATACAAATGGCCAACTTGATACATTAAAAAAATACTCAACATCACAAATCATCAGGGAAATACAAATTAAAACCACGGTGAGAAAACCTCACACCTGTTAGAATGGCTACTATCAAAAAGATGAAAGATAACAAGCTGGCAAGGGTATTGAGAAAAGGGAACCCCCGTACATAGTTGATGGGAATGCAAATTAGTATAGCCATTTTGGAGAACAGCATGGAGGTTCTGCAAAACACTAAAAGTAGAACTGCCATAGGATCCAGCAATCCCACTTCTGGGTACATATCCCAAGGAATTGAAATCAGTATGTTAAAGGGATATATGCACTCCTGTGTTCACTGTAGCACTATTCACAATAGCCAAGATATAGAAACAACCTAAATGCCCATCAATAGGGAAATAAGCCAGGCATGGAAAAACAAATAGCATGATTTTACTTATATGTAAATCTTAAAAAGTCAAACTCATAGAAGTGGAATGTAGAACAGTAGTTAACAAAGGCTGGGTAAAGGTGAGGAGGTGGACAGGGAAAGAAGAGATTGTTCGTCAGAGTACAAAGCTCCAGTTTAAGAAGAGGTATAAGTTCTAGCCATCCACTGCAAAGTACCTTGACTATAATTAATAATAACGTATTGTATATTTCAAAATTCTTAAAAGACTAATTTTAAATCTTTTTGCCACAAGGAAATAAGTATGTGAGGTGACGGATATGTTAATTAGCCTGATACAATAATTCTACAATGTATGCATGCATCATAGCGTCACATTTACCCCATAAATATATACAATTATTTGTCAATTAAAAATAAAATATAAAAAAAGGAAAAAGAATAGACTAGTTAACAAGCATTTATTAACCACTCCAATTTTAAATATATTTCTTGTTATTAGGTAAAGATGAGGCCAATGTGTGATAAGTGAGGACCACTGACTTTTTAATTGTTGTTTATTTTAATATGGATTTTTCATAAACCTTTTCTTGTTATGTAGAAACAAGTGATAAAATATGTTAAATATTTAAAGTGTGATAATTAGGTACATAATATATACATGCATATAAAATATGTATGCATATATGTTTATATGCATATTTTATATGCATAAAAATGTTAAATGTTAATTCTATTATAGTGAACTAATTATTAAAGTCAGCATGGAGGCAATATATTCATGTTTTTAGAAAATTTTTAAAGTCATAATAAATATTCCTATTGTGTTACCAACATGCTCAACATTTGAACCAAATTTAATCTTTAACTGCTAAAGGGTTATTTATTCCATGGGTATTATACCAACTATACTAATTTTGATATCTTTCCTGAGAGACACTCAGGAAATATATATGTAATTTTTAAAAAATCACACCAGTAAATTCTCAATTGGCTGCTTAAGCCCACAGATTCTGCAGGCCATTGATAATCCAACTTTTAATAACTTCTTTAGAAGCACTAGGGGAAAAAAATTGTTTTTTAGTATCTCATTCTAAATTATAAAATTTTTAAAGACTTCAAAAACCCCTTTTAATTTATAATAAATATGGGAGAAGAAAATGACCAAATTAATGGCATGAAGCAACATTTTAGCTTTTAACCTTAATATGTCTCTTTTTATTTTAAAATGAGAACAAATCTTTTTTTATTACATGAAAAATTACATGTTTGTTTTTAATCAAGTGAACAGAATACCAAAGTTTGTATACCTAATTAACACATTTTAAATATCTGTTTAGGAAAAAAGTGATAGTAGCTCTAGCTCTATCACAGAACGACAACTCTTCATTTTGCAAATGTTTTCTAAGTGATGCTCAAATGAAAATTATTTCTCAGTTCTTTTGCAAATATCCATCTCATCTGCCAAACTACTGTGACTTAATAAGCAGTGAAGCAAAATTCTTCAACCTACAGAGATGTAGTTCATTTTTGTTACCTTTTTTCACCAAAATCCAACATTATTAGGTCATCCCTCAGTGAACTGGTCTGTTCCTCAACTATTCTCATCCTTTGCTGAAGTACTGTGAATGTTTCAGAAGCTGTAGCGTTGATGTGGGTTGGAGAAAGGACCGGTCTGGACACTGTAGTTTCCATATGTACCTAAGAATACAGTCACAATCTTAGTGTGGTAGGTCCTATTATTGTTCAAAAATAGTCACTGCCATTCCTGTGCCAGGATTAGGCATCACTGTCCTGTTGAACTCAGGAATGGTGATGTGTTCTGCTTTGGCCAATTAAATGTAGGTGGAAGTTATAAGAGCCAGCTTGTTCTTCACCATCTCTCTCTTTTCCCTCCCCTATGAGATGAGCAACATCCCAGGTAGGACTTTCTCCAGGCACTAGGATCCCACGGTGACAATGACATCAAACAGACCCACAACCCATTCATGATATACAGTGTGGATGTCATGACATACAATAAACCTATGTTGTTGTAAGCCATTAAGATTGTTGAGTACTTTATTTCATCATAATTTAGTCTATTCTATTTGCCACTATTAGTCACACACAAGGACCTATGACTTGCTGAGGGAATGGCTTTTATTACTAGCCATTTTCATCATAACATTATTACCATTCAACCTTCTTGAAAAACATTCTATACTTGGACCTCTGTACAGTTGCCATAAAATAAATGACTTACCAACTATGTATCCTGCATTGAAGCAGCATTTTAAAAAATAACATGCAACCTTAACTTCAGGCAAGAGCAAAGACCTTTCTACAGCTATTGACATCAACTTTCCACAGACTCCTCCCCCAAAACGCAATGAAAATAAATAAGAATAGTGAGAATACTTTCAAGATATTAGTGACAGAAGCAGAATTAGCTTATATGTGGTCACAACGTGTAAATGAATCACGTTCAATGACAAGGTAATTGGTGAAAACTTTAAAAACATTGTCCTGCAACTCCGTTCTCTGCAGACATTTCTCTACTAATCATGCTGTAAGCCTTAGCCATTTCTAGCGATAGTGTTCGTATGGGAATGTGTTCACAAGGGTCCAACTTGGGATATCAGGAATACACCTTTGTACCCACTTCCTATGTCATCAGGTATCTCCCTGACCCTTACCTTCCTGGAAGTGAAAGGGGGGTCCACCTCATGTTCAAGTTGCTGAAGGTGGTCCTGGGACCCAGGGCAAGAATTCATGAAGTGGGAGGACTGGTGGCAGGATTTAAGGGAGCAAGAATCATGGTGGGGCTGAGCTTGCTATACCCGCTGAGGATGTTTCTTCATCCTGAAATAGCTCTCCAATTCACTTTGTATCTTCTTCCCACAGGTTCCAGAAAATGGCCTATTTTTTTCTTTTTCGAGGCAGAGTCTTGCTCTGTCACCTAAGCTGGACTGAAATGGAGCGATCTTGGCTCACTGCAACCTCCACCTCCTAAGTTCAAGCAATCCTCCCACCTCAGCCTCTCGGGTAGCTGAGATTACAGTTATGTGCCACCATGCCCGGCTAATTTTTTTTTTTTTTGTATTTTTAGTAGAGACGGGGTTTCACCATGTTGGCCAGGCTGGTCTCAAACTCCTGACCTCAAGTGATCTGCCAGCCTCAGTCTCCCAAAGTGCTGGCATTACAGGCATGAGCCATCACGCCCAGCCTATTTTTCTTTTTACTCTTACTATGGTGTTTCTGACCAGAATTTTTCTTTCATGCCCTACTGTGAAACTTTTTTTGACACAAGCTTTTTGCATTCTTTAGATTTGTTGTTAAGTCAGCTTAAGGACATGGGGTGAAAGAAGCTCCCTTCTATTAATTAACTTTCATTTTTTTCAGTTCATTCCTGAAGGAAAGACAAAGACATGCAGATATTGATGCAGTCTCTGGACACGCAAAATATTCGAAGTGGGGCTCCTCTACATTTCTGGGAAAAAAAAAACTGATGTGGAGACTCCTGGTAATGTTACCACATGAGCCAGTATAGTATTCCTCAAGTAGTAAACGAAAGAGCCTCTGAGTAAGCCCGTCGGGCTGGATCAGCTGCCATAAACCAGGGCTGCAGTTGGTGGAGCCACCAACAGCACTGGGTGGGGAAAAAATGGAGGGGTAACAATGGAGAAACACCTCCATTCTATTTTCTGTCACCTGCTGTCCAGCTACTGACCTAGAGATAAATCATGCCAAAGATGGGGAGAAAACCTAGGGAAAGGGTGGCTAATAGGGTGTGCGCAGACACAGCTCCTTTGTCCTCTCTCCAAAAGAAGCAGAAAAGCTCATGACCCCAGCCTCGCCTCAGCAGGCACACTCATGTGATATATTCTGGCCAAAGAGACTTTGGGCAGAAGTTTGCAAAAGGGCTCCTAGGCAGACTTTTGTTTTTCTAGATTAAAAAAAGAGTAATGATGGCACCTGTCTTTTCCTACCCCCTTACAATTCCCAGAGCGTTCCATCAGTCAGGTATGCAGCAGCTCACTCTCAAATATAAACGAAGAGCCAAGGATCACCAGTGTCTGATAAACACAAGGAAAAGACAGAGAACCTCAGACTATGTTGACACTTGGGCAAAACCAGTAATCTTCAAACTCTGCTTATGTGAGATAAAAAACTTTTTTTTGTTTGTTTTAGTCACTTTCTTCTACATATAGTAGGCCCAGGCATTAGCTGGTGGAAAAACAAGTAGAAGGAAGAAGTAAAAATGACAAGCAGTGCTGGAGAGGGGAAGGGAGAACAATTTCTGTGGCAATTTATTAGACCCAGGTAGCTGGTTATAATATAGAGTCTTGTCTATGTTCATTTATATCAGAAGCCAAGCACATAATACTAATACTCATATTGCAAAAGTCTGTCTTTGGAAAAAAATGGAAATGGAGAAGCTCCCCCACATATTTTGAATAGGATGCAGATTCCCAACTAAAATTTTTTCATGTAATTGTTCAAATGTTTAGTTTTGTTGATATTTCCCTAAGGAACCTATGATCTGTATTAAATGCTTACATTGGCTCTCCAGGACATGTGTACATTCAGCCATGAAAACAAAACAGCAAATCATTTAAATTGCTTCACTTGTTTTAAAAAAAAGAAGGTCCAACATGTCGCGGTAGGAATTTGGTTTGCATCCACACTGAGTGCCACCCGACCCTGCTCTACACTGAAGCTTCTCAGGCTTCCATAGAGAAAATATACTTTCAAAAAGGAGCAACCAACTTGGCCCAGCCTCTGAGGGGAAGGAGGTTTATAGAAAATTCACCCTAAGAAGGGGGAGATTGAGGTGACTCGGACACTGATTGATGGTTGGCAGGGCACAAAGCTTTTGAGTGAAATACATGGTGTTGTCCTTAAAATATCCTCTTAGTCAATCGCTGAGAATCCTGTTCAGGTCATCAAAGTTGCTGAAACAAAAATTAAATAAGCCAATCTAGCCTTTGGGGATTTACTAAAAACAGATCTCATGGCCAGGCACAGTGGCTCATGCCTGTAGTCCCAGCATTTTTGAAAGGCCTATGTGGGAGGATCACTTGAGGCCAGGAGTTCCAGACCAGCCTGGCCCACATGGCAGGACCCTATTCTCTTCCAAAAATTTTTAAAAATGAGCTGGGCATGGTGGCCTGTGCCTGTAGCCCTAGCTACTTGGGAGGCTGACGCAGGAGGATCACTTGAGCCCAGGAGGTAGAGGCTGCAGTGAGCTATGATTGTGCCACTGCACCCCAGCCTGGGTGACAAAGCAAGACCTTGTCTCTAAAAAAAAATAAAAAATGAAAACAAGTCTCAGGGTTAGTTAAAAACCTTCCCTCCCAACCACCACCTCCACTTCCCGCCATGGGAAAACAAAAACAAAAACCAAACAATGCCAAGGTCAGGAGAGTCCTTGGAAGCAAGGGAGGGGGCGGTAATGGCTGAGTAGCAAGAGGACAGCCTTAAAGCCACCAGGCAGAGTCCCCGAGTATCTGGGAGGCTGTTAAAGTATGAGATAAGAACTTTCAATCCAGTAAATTAATCTACCAAGTTGGGGCTTAAAGTTAGAGAGAGATTCTCATTTTCACTGCAGTTGCTCATACCCTTGCCTGTCCTCCCCATCTGGTAGGCCCAAAGCAGTGGTAGCAGAAATGCCACCCACACCCCTACATACATAAATACACGCACACTCTCCAATGGCCACTTGGCAGATCCTCATAAGTCATAGTTCTATGGCTCATAGTCTAAGAAGCACAGTCTTACATGAAAACAATCTACCTCTAATGGCTGACATTCTAGCAAAGAGACAACAGCTTTAACATATCTGTGCTTTGTTGTGTTTGAAAAGGAGCAAATATTGATTGCTGCCTTGAACCTAAGTCCTAACGCTTGATAGTAACAATAATAAAAATACTGAGATATAAACTTTTATTTTTAAAAAAGTTCATTCATAACTAATTTCTATGCATATATTATTATCAAACTAACAGAATTCTGTCTTGATGTTTAGGGAGAATATTTCCAAAGAGCTTCTAGGCAGGTAACCTTATGGAAAGCATGGCAAGAAAAAGACCAATGTCACAAGTAATATACTAGTAAAAACCAGATGACTTTGAAAAGAGAACACATGCTTCTGTGGACACAGGCTCCATTCCTACACCTGGCAATAGGTGTACACTGGCAAAAGCGTATACAAGTACATGCTGTTGGTTCCAAAATAACAGTCCAGGGAGTCAATGTTGTTTATCACAACCACTAGAAAATAATATGGTAACACTGTCTTCATTCACTCACACATCTAACAAATATTTCCTGAACATTTACCATGAGCCACACACTGTTATAGGCAATGAGGCGGGGGGCAGGGGTTGGGTAGAACAGTACGAACAAAACTCCCTGCCTTCGTGGAGCTTATATTCCAGCTGAAGAAGACAGACACTAAGTAAAATACATAGTTTGTTTATTGGTGATAAGTGCAAAGGAGGAAAATGAAATAGGAAAGAACATGGTATGGAGGCTACAGGGCAGATTTTCATTTTAAACAGGGTGGTCAAAGAAGGCCTCATAACATTTGAGCAAAGACCTGTTATATAGATATCAGAGGGCAGAAAGGCCCAGAAGACGGAAACAGCAAGTGCAAAGGCCTGAAGTTAGAAGGTCTGATGAGTCCGCACATAATAAAGAGGTGGGTTTGGCTGGAGAGGAAGGAGTAACACAGAGAACATTGAGAGATGAGGTCAGACGGTAATAATAAAACCAGAATACGGCTGGGCGCGGTGGCTCACGCCTGTAATCCCAGCACTTTGGAAGGCCGAGGCGGGCAGATCAAGAGGTCAGGAGATCGAGACCATCCTGGCTAACACGGCGAAACCCCGTCTCACTAAAAATACAAAAATAAAAATAAAAAAAAAATTAGCCGGGCGTGGTGGCGTGCTCCTGTAGTTTCAGCTACTCGGATGGCTGAGGCAGGAGAATGGTGTGAACCCAGGAGGCGGAGCTTGCAGTGAGCTGAGACTGCTGCACTCCAGCCTGGGCGACAGAGCGAGACTCCGTTTCAAAAAAACAAAAAACAGAATACACAGAGCCTTGAAGGCCATTGTAGAAGTCTGGCTTTTGCTGTCAGTGATTCTCAGAGTCACTGGAGGTCTATAGCTGAGGAATGCTATCCAACTTTCCTTTTAACTGGATCATTTTGACTCCCTCCCACTCCAAATGGTGGAAGAACAAAAGCAGAAGTAGAGATGCTGCTGGCCAGAACCAAGGTGACAGCAGCGGTATTCCTACTGTAAGAAGTGGTTAGTGGTTAGATATACTTGAAAGATAGCTTTTGCTGATGCATTAGATATGAGATATGAGGGAAAGGAAGAAGCCAAGATTACTACAGGGTTTTTGGCCTGGATGGTGCTATCACTGAGACAATGCAAACTTATTAAGGAAGAATCCGTTTTGTGGAAAAGATAAAGAGTAGTTTTTAAAATGTCAAATTTAAAACATGAAAGATACCAAATACATTATTGAATTTGTGGATCTGAAGTTTGGGGGTGAGGTGTGGACTGGAGACTAATTTCTGAAGAGCTCAAGAAAACCATAAGGCGGGATAACAGAGAACACAAAGGATTAAAGGACCTAGTCCTGAGCACGCCAAGATTAACAAATTAGAAGCATGTGTTGGGGGGCATTTAAGACGGACTAATACGAACTTCTCTAAAGTGGGGTTAAAAATAGACATTTTTCTATCTTTAGAGCCTAATACAGTGCCTGGGAAATTATAGGTGGTAAATAAACAGGAGAATACTTCGACAGGAATTTAACGAATGTCTATTCCGTTCTAGCAAGAGCGCCAGGTACTGCGGAAACCGTAAAGAACAAGTGCAAATTCCTGACACCTATATTCTGGTAAGCAAGCCAGGGAGGATTAACTGGTGGCAAAAATCAAACATTAACGCCGAAATAGCCTTCCCAGGAACCTATTAAACTCCAACTTAACACATAAATAAAGGTGGTATTGGGCTTATCTGGAGGCTTCGGTGGCTATCTCCCATCCCTCAGCTGGAGCCAGGCCAATGCAAACTTCGCTCCTAAATGGCTTTCACCGGCAGCCAACGCCAAAGCGCCTTAAATCAGGGCCCTGAGGTCCAGGGAGTGAGACTGGACTCCGTCAGGACAGGGAGAGGGCGCCAGGGAGTGGTGACTGTCCTTATCTGAGCCGAAGCCTCGCGAGCCTCCGACCACCCCTCACCAGCCCGGGGCCCGGCAGCCTCACCTTACAGTCCATCTGTCCGCCTGAGGCTCCGTACTGCAGCAGGCGAGCGGGTTTCCGTGGAACTAACACAGCATTTTAAACCAACCCGCTCCCCGGCGCAGTAGCTCCGGTACGCAGGCGCACCCGTGGCAGGGCATGTCGGGAACTGTAGTTTTCCCGGCCCAGGAGGGCCCTCAGCCCTGGGCGGGACCCAGGCCGGCATCCGGCGGCGCTCAGGGAATGCGTAGCGCCGTGAACCGAATGGCGGCAGGCTCCACTGTGCTCGCGAGCGGGGCACGCCGGGATATGTAGTTTCCGGCGCCTGCCCTCCGGGGGGTCCTGTGCTGCCCACTTCACAGTGACTTGTCTCCGCCTGGTGAACTCGCGGTGTTCTGCTAATCTTGGTAAATACATACCCTACAGCAGAGTAACGAGCATAAAAATTGGTTAAAAATTCAGAGCTTAAACATTCTTCTCGTTAAAGGAAAAATCAAGTCCCTCTTCGTCCTCGTCCATGATGGCCACATGGAGAGTAAAACACAGAAATCTGTTTTCAGGTCTTTCGTCTCTTCAGCATAAATTATTTCTTGCCCTGTCTACAAGTTAATAGGTATTTGTAAATCTGAGTGTAAGTAGCTATGAAACGGAAAAGAGCATTGAGCTGTCCCTGGTTTTTTTGGTGGTTTGCTTTTTTGAGATAGGGTCTTCCTCTGTCGCCAAGGGTGGATTACGGTGGTGCGATCTCGACTCACTGCAGCCTCGACCTCCCGAGCTCAAGCGATCCTCCCATCTCAGCCTCCCCAGTATCTGGGACCACAGGCGCGCGCCACCACGTCTGGCTAATTTTTGTATTTTTTCGTGGAGGCGGGGTCATCACCATATTGCTCAGGCTGGTCTCTTTGGGCTCGAGCCATCCGCCCACCTCGGCCTCCCAAAGTCCTGGGATTACAGGCGTGCATCACCACACCAGCGTTTCTGAGTTGTTTTGCTTTAAGAATATGTATTCTCACTTAAGGGAAAGCCTTCTATAGTGCAAAGACGCGGCTTTGCGTTTTGGTAGCTGGACAGAACACCTGTTATCCCTGCCAGGGCAATTAAAATGCATTTCTCTCTTCTCCCTGAGAGTGCAGCCAAGAATCACTTCAGCCCTCTCATATAAGCAATCAGATCCGAGATGAGAGCTCATTTACTTAGCCTGACAATTGATCTTGCTATTCTAATTCTTTTCATAGCGGAGCCTCAATGTGAGATGCAGAGACTGCCCATCAAACCACAGCCATATTCATCAAGCTTTGAGCCGATCCGGTGAAGAGAAATGAGCACTGCATACATTATTCAGAGAAAGGGACCAAATAAAGCTTTTAATAGGAAATGAAAATGTATTTTAAAGCGTCAGTGCAAACAGCCAATTATTTTCATTATGTATGTTTTATCTTGCAATGACCTCTGGTTTATCAGTGGAATTAAGAGATGAGTGATACATGTATCCACGTGTTTTTGTGTAATGAGAGTTTTCACCTTCTCCTCAAATCTCCATATTAAGCAGCAGTCAGGGAACCAAACTGATTAAATTCGTGTTTTTCATTTGTTTTCCCTTATTCACTGTCTGGCAAACCGTATAAGAACTTAAGCAATTACAGAGTTAGAGAAAAGGACCTGAAGTCTTCAATAAACTTGAAATCAGGGAGTATAGTCCTCCAACTTTGTCCTTTTTCAAATTTGTTTTGGCTGTTCCTTTAACTTTCTAGTTCCTTTACCTTTCTCCCAAATTTTTTGAATCAACTTGTTGATACCTACAAAAATTCTGCCAGGATTTTGATTGAAATAATGCCAAACATACCGATTTTCTTGCTGATTTCCCTCTTGATTTTCAGTTGATAAATAGTTCTCAGACATTACCCCATTTATCAAACAAGATCATTTCATTCACGGAAATCCTAGATATTCCATGAAGACCACATTCTGTTTCACTGCGATAACCTCCTAACTGGTTTTCCTATTACCCCTTCCAAAGTATCCTTCATATGGCTACCAGATCTTTTAAAAAAGTAAATCTGATTATCTCAGGTCTTTGCTTAAAAACATTTAATCGTTCCCCCATTGAACGAAAAGTTTTCCATTGAGCAGGATGAAGACCAAACTGGTAATAGCTTCAGCCAAACCCTCCAGCCTACTCTGCACCTAGTGCCCCAGTGGAACTCTGAAGTCAAGCCTGCTACCATAGAATGTCTTTGTGCTTGCAGGTTATGCTCACTCTGCTGCGCACGGCCTTCCTCTTGTCAGTCTCACCAGCTCAACAGAAACTTAGCCTCTTCTGTGAAGCCATTCTATTCTCTCCCAAAGCACTTCATAATTGTCAATGTATCTTATTTCCCCTTATTTGAGCTGTAAGCTACTTAAGGACAGGAATTTGTTTTTTTCTTTTCAACACCAAGTACAATGCCCGGCACACAGTAGGGGTTTGGAAAGTTTTTGTTAGGTGAGTGAATGAATAAATTTTGAAACGGCTCTACTAATAGAGGCTGTGTTTCACTCTCTACTTGTAAGCCAGGAAAAGGCCTCCAAATAGAATATACGCTGCAGATGATTTGACATTGTAGTTACACGAATGGCAGTAAAGTTCCCTGCAACTACTTCCCCTTGGAGTTGGAAATGTATTCCGTGGACAAAGAAATGCAAACAGAACACCCAAAGTTTTCATATCTTGTTGGTAAAATAAAAGAATAAAAATGGCAAATTCACTAACTGGCTCCTCACCTTATGTGGGCAATCCAGATATTTTGGTAAAGTATTGGCTCTGGGTATAGAGATTAGGATTTGAAAGAGTCTTTGGCTTTTTAATGAACTGGTGAATCAGCCCAAGGCTGAGAAGATAATTCTTTTTTTTTTTTGAGACGGAGTCTCACTCTGTCGCCCAGGCTGGAGTGCAGTGGCTTGATCTCTGCTCACTGCAAGCTCTGCCTCCTGGGTTCACACCATTCTCCTGCCTCAGCTGGGACCACAGGTGCCCGCCACCACGCCCCACTAATTTTTTTGTATTTTTAGTAGAGACGGGGTTTCATCACGTTAGCCAGGATGGTCTCGATCTCTGGACCTCGTGATCCGCCCACTTCGCGTCTCCCAAAGTGCTGGGATTACAGGCGTGAGCCACCGCGCCCGGCCACGGCTGAGAAGATAATTCTATTAATTGAAATGGCCAAGGATAACAGTGCTTCTTATACGGTCTCTGTCACTTAGCTCCACCAACTAAATTTTATAGTCAGGTAGATTTTCACCTTGTTCCATTAACCAAACTTATGAATAAGGTCAAGGCTATGATGACACTGCTGCAGCTCTATTTTACCTTTCCTAAGATTAAAGTACTCTTTTGTACTTTATCATATCACCACATGATTCTGACTGTAACCTTTGGTGTAGTAGTTATATTCTCATTTTACTTATGAAGTAACTGACACCGGGGGAAGTTAAGTAACTTGCCTAAAGGCCATACAGCCAATAAGTGACAGAATGGTTATTTGGAGTTGGCTCTATCTCGCTTCAAAGCTTATGCATTTTGGTTAGACTCCATCTCCTACCATTCTCCACCCCATCTGACAGCAGTGGGGTAAGACAGAATTTTCAGCATCTAACTATTCAATGAGAAATATATGAATTAACTTCACACAATCAAATACCATGTTTATCAAAGAAAATAAGGAAATCCAGGTGGTGGTATGTGAGTATTTACTATGCCATTCTTACAAATTTTCTGTGTGTCTAAAATTATTTTCACAATAAAAATTTTTTTATGAGGAAAATGTCTATGTACTTATATGGAAAATTCTATAGGATATATTTTAAGTTGAACAAGTGAGGTATTGTGTAATGCCAGGGGGGATAAGAATTTTATATTTGTATAAATAAGCACTGGGAATATACAAAAGAAATAAAAGTACCTTTTATTACCTGTGTAGATAGTGTGACCATATAATTTTTCATCCAAACCAAGATAATGTATCTCTCCACATATCTAAGGTCTTCTTTGGTTTCTTTAATTAGTATCTTATAGTTTTCAATATATAGATACTATATTTTTTTTAGATTTGTGTTTAAGTTTTCCACTTTTTGTTACTAGTTTTTTTTTTAAATTTCAAATCCATTGTTTGTTGCTAGTACATAGAAATATAATTGACTTTTGTATTTTGAGCTCTTATCCTATGACCTTGCTAAACTCTCTTACTAGTTTTAGGACTAGCTTTAGAATTTTTTTCGTGTGTTATTTGGGATTTTTTTACATAAACAATTCTGACATCTGCAAATAGAGTTTTTTCTTTCCCTTTCAATCTGAATGACTTTGTTTTTCTTGCCTTGTTGCACTGGCTAAAACTTTTACTATGATATTGAATAGCAGTGGTGAAAGAAGGATGTCCTTATCTTGTTCCCATTAAGTATGATGTTAGTCATCGGTTTTTACAGTTGTCCTTAATCATATCCAGGCAATTTCCTTTCATTTCTAGTCTGCTGAGAGTTTTTTTGGAAAGAAATTTGAATTTGTCAAATGCCATTTAGATAATCATGGTTTTTTTCTTTAGTTTGGTAATCTGGTAAATTACATTGGTTGAGTTTTCCCACATTGAAACAATCTTGCATTCTTTGGATAAATCCCACTTAATCATTCTGTATTTTCCTTTTTTATATATTTCTAGACCCAATTTAATAATAATTTGTTGAGTATTCTTGTGTCTGTGTTTGTGGGGGATATTGGTCTTTCTTTTTCTTTTTTTTGGAAACAGAGTCTCACTCTGTCACCCAGGCTGGAGTGCAATGGTGTGCTCTCAGCTCACTGCAACCTCTACCTCCTAGACTCAAGCAATTACTGGGCCTCAGCCTCCCAAGTAGCTTGGACTACAGGCACTCACCACCACACCTAGCTAATTTTTGTATTTTTAGAAGAGAAAGGGTTTCACCATGTTGGCCAGTCTTGTTTCAAACTCTGGGCCTCAAGTGATCTGCCCGCCTCAGCCTCCCAAAGTGCTGGGATTATAGGCATGAGCCACCGCACCTGGCCTGGTCTTTATTTTTCTTTCATTATACTGGTTTTGCTATTAGGGTAATGCTAGCTTCATAAGATGCATGGGGAAGTGTTTCCTTCTCTTATAAATTCAGAAAAAGATTGTATAGAATTGTTATTGTTTCTTCCTTAAATGTTTTCTAGAATTTTGCAGTAAAATATATGGGCAGGGAATTTTCTTTTTTGAAAAGTTTTTAACCACAAATTCAATTTATTTAATAGTTGTAGAACTATTTTTTTTTTTTTTTTTTAGTGAGTGTAGGTAGCTTGTGTATTTTAATAATTGGTCTGTTTTATCTAAGTTGTTGGATTTATGGGCATACAGTTGTTTTTAGGACAGTAAGTCCTTAACATCCTCAGTACGTTCTTGGAAATGGCAACCTTAATTGAAAGTTTAAGGAAACCACTTTTATTATAGCCTAATTGATATAAATGACAGTTAGGTGCCTATGACATACTTCTGGTCACAAAAACATCACCAAATTTCTAAATAAAGACCAAAACACTTCTAATATTAAATATTGAAATAAATGAGAGCTATACATACATTTAAGACAGATTAATAGGCCAGGCACGGTGGCTCACGCCTGTAATCCCAGCACTTTGGGAGGTCAAGGTGGGTGGATCACCCGAGGTCAGGAGTCCAAGACCAGCCTGGCCAACATGGTGAAACCCCGTCTCTATTGAAAATACAAAAATGCCGGGCGTGGTGGCACGTGCCTGAAGTCCCAGCGACTGGGGAGGCTGAAGCATGAGAACTGCTTGAACCTGGTAGGCGGAGGTTGCAGTGAGCCAAGATTGAGCCACTACACTCCAGTCTGGACGATAGAGTGAGACGCGGTCTCAGAAAAAAAAAAAAAAGATTAATAAAAACAAGTAGGATAATTATTTACCCAGTTATCCCAGTTCAAGGTTGTGGGTGGCCAGAGCTTTTACCCAGTTATCCTAGTTCAGGGTTGTGGGTGGCCAGAGTCTATCCCCGCAGCTCAGGACACAGGGCAGGAACCAGCCCGAGGCAGGATGCCACCCTATCTCAGGGCACACACACACACACACACAAACATGCACACACATACACAATCAGTTACACGGGGACCATTTAGCTCAGCAGTTTACGTCACATGCACATCTTTGGGATTTGGGAGGAAACTGCAGTAACCAGAGAAAACCCGCAGACACGGGGAGGACATGCAAACTCTACGCAGTGTGCCATTAATCAATTTTTTTGTTAACCTCATCAAAGTTGAATGAAATGACACACTTTGAGGACTTCCTGTATTCGTTTTATCATTTTAATTTCTGTGGGGGTCTGTCATGATAGCCCCTCTTTTATTTCCAATATTGGTAATTTTTGTCTTCTCCCTTTTTTTCTTTGTCAGTCTGGCTAGAAGTTTATCAATTTTATTGATGTTTTAGAAGAATCTGTTTTGGTTTCATTAATTTTTTTCTATTACTTTTGTTTTCAAGTTCATTGATTTTTTTCCTCTCATGTTTATTAGTTAAACTTTTGAGAGTAAATGGGGGCACTATTAATAATTAAACCAAGAAAAAAGGCATAAACTGGAAATGTTCTTGGGAAACCACAATGTATGATCACTCCGCCTATAGGATATGTGACGGGGAGAAGAGAAGCAGATGGGAACCTTTGTGGGAATAAAACTTTACAGTGTATACCTTTTAGGATTACTTTGATTTAAAATCACTTGGAGTTTTTCCCCAGCTTTATTGAGACATGGTTGACAAATAAAAATTGGATATATTTTAAATATACAACATGATGTTTTGCTATATGTATGATATATGTATACATAGTGAAATGATTACCACAATCAAACTAATTAACATATCAATCATCTAACATAATTACCTTTATTTTATTTAATTTATTTATTTATTTATTTTGAGACGGAGTCTCGCTCTGTCGCTCAGGCTGGAGTGCAGTGGCGCCATCTTGGCTCACTGAAAGCTCCACATCCCAGGTTCACGCCATTCTCCTGCCTCAGCCTCCCGAGTAGCTGGGACTACAGGGGCCTGCCACCACGCCCAGCTAATTTTTTTTTGTATTTTTAGTAGAGATGGAGTTTCACCCTGTTAGCCAGGATGTTCTCCATCTCCTGACCTCGTGATCCGCCCGCCTCAGCCTCCCAAAGTGCTGGGATTACAGATGTGAGCCACTGCACCCGGCCTACCTTTTATTTTTTTAATGACAATACTTGAGATCTACTCTTTTAGCAACTTTCAAGTGTACATTATTATTAACTACAGCTATCTGATATGGTTTGGCTCTGTGTCCCCACACAAATCTCATGTTGAACTGTAGTCCCCAGTGTTGGAGGTGGAGCCTGGTGGGAGGTGATTGGATCATGCGGGTGGTTTCTAATGGTTTAGACTATCCCCTTAATGCTGCCTCATGATACAGTTCTTAGGACATCTGGTTGTTCAAAGTGTATGGCACCTTTCCCTTTGCTGTCTCTCCTGCTCTGCCAGGTGAAGATGTGCCTGCTTCCCCTTCAACTTCTGCCATGATTGTAAGTTTCCTGAGGTCTCCCCAGCCATGCTTCCTGTACAGCCTGTGGAACTGTGAATCAATTAAACCTCTTTTCTTCATAAATTACCCAGTCTCATGTGGTTTCTTATAGCAATGTGAGAATGGACTCATATACCATCATGCTGTACATTGGGTCTCCAGTACTTATTTACCTTATGGCTGAAGGTTTGTATCCCCAATATCTTCTTTTGTCCCCTTCTCCACAGTCTCTGGTAACAACCATTCTATTCTCTGCTCTGTGAGTTCCATTTTCTTTAAATTCCACATATACATTAGATCATGCAGTTTTGTCTTTCTGTGTTTGGTTTCTGTCACTTAGCATAATGTCTCCAAGTTTAATTCACGTTGTTGAAAATGGCAAGATTTACTTAGTTTTTAAGGCTTGATAATATTCCATTATATATGTATACCACATTTTCTTTATCCATTCATCTGTTGACAGACACTTAGGTTGTTTCCACATCTTGGCTGTTGTGAATAATGCTGCAATGAACATGGGAGTGCAGATACCTCTTTGACATACTGATTTCAATTTCTTTAGATACATACCCAGAAGTGAGATTTCTGGATCACATGGTGATTCTATTTTTAATTTAGTTGAGAAACTTCTATGCTGTTTTCCATAACAACTGTACCAATTTACATTCTCACAAAAAATGTCTAAAAGTTCCCTTTTCTCCACATCCTTGCCAACACTTGTTATCTTTTGACGTTTTGGTAATAACCATCCTAACAAGTGTGAGGTGATAGCTCAGTGTGAGGGGATATCTCAGTTTAATTTGCATTTTTTTGATGATTAGTGAGGTTGAGCATCTTTTCATATAGTTGTTGGACATTGTATGTCTTCTTAGGGGAAAGTGTCTATTCAGGTCCTTTGCCCATTTTTAAATTGGGTTATTTAGGGTTTTTTTTTTTTTTTGCTATCGAGTTTTATGAGTTCCTTACATATTTTGAATATCAACTCATTGTTGGATATGTGGTTTACAAATATTTGCCACCAGTTCATAAGCTGCCTTTTAATTTTGTTGGTTGTTTTCTTTGTTATGCAAAAACTTTTCAGTTTGATACTGTACAGTAGGTACATTTAGTTTTATTACTGTACATTGCTCATTTCTGTTTTTGTTGCCTGTCCTTTTGGTATCAAATCTGAAAAACTATTGCTGAGATCAATGTTGTGAAGTTTTCCTTTATGTTTTTTTCTAGGACTTTTATAGTTTCAGGTCTTATGTTTCGGTCATTAATCCCTTTTAAATTGATTTTTGTGTATGGCATAAGAGAAGAGTTCAATTTAATTATTTATCTATTTGTTTGCTTTTCTTTCTTTCTTTCTGCATGTGGATATCCAGTTTACCAGAACCATTTATTGAAGAATCTATTTTTTTCCCTTTGCGTATTCTTGTCACCTTTGTTGAAAATTAGTAGACCAAATATGTATGGGTTTATTTCTTGGCTGTCTATTCTCTTCCACTGGTCTATGTGTTTGTTTTTAATGCCAGTACCATACTGTTTTGATTACTACAGCTTTGCAACATAGTTTGAAAGATGTCTTCAGCTTTGTTCTTCTTATTCAAGATGGTTTTCTCTGTTTGGGGTCTTTTGTGGTTTCATATAAATTTTAGGATTGTTGTTTTTTTTTTTCTATTTCTGTGAAAAATGCCGCTGTAATTTTAGTAGAGATTACATTGAATCTAGAGATCACATTGGGCAGTATGGACATTTTAATAATGTTAACTCTTCCAATAGATGAACACAGGATATCTATTTCTTTGTGTCTTCTTCAATTTCTTACATCAATATTTTAGAGTTTTTGTTGTATAGATCTTTCACCTCCTTGGTTAAATTGATTCCTAATTATTTTATTTTTTATGCTATTGTAAAATGGATCATTTTCTTAGTTTCTTTTTCAGATAGTTCACTGTTAGTGTAGAAAAACATAACTGATTTTTGTAGGCTGATTTTGTATCTCACAATTTACCGAATTTATTAGCCTTATCATTTGTTTAATGAAGTCTTTAGAATTTTCTACATATATAAGATCATACCATCTGAAAACAGAAGCAATTTCACATTTTTCTTTCTGATTTAGATGCCTTTTATTTATTTTTCTTTCCTAACTGCTTTGGCTAGAACTTGCAACACTTTGTTGAATAGAAGTGGTGAGAAGGGGCATTCTTGTCTTCTTTGTAATCTTAGAGGAAAAACTTTCAACTTTTCAGTTTTGAGTATGATGTTAGCTGTAGGCTTGTCATACATGGCCTTTATTATGTTAAGGGATGTTTTTGCTATAGCTAATTGGTGAGAGTTTTTGTTATAAAAGGATGTTCAATTTTGTCAAATGTTTTTTCTGCATCTATTGAGATGATCATATATGGTTTTTATCCTTCATTCTGTTAATGTGTTATGTCACATTGATACATTTGTGTATGTTAAACCATCCTTGCACAGCAGGAACAAATCTACTTGACTATGGCATATGATCCTTTTAGTGTGCTGTTGACTTTTGTTTGCTAGTATTTTATTGAGGATTTTTGCATCTGTGTTAATCATTTGAATGTATAACCTATTTAAAAATAAAATAAATGCATTATTCAAATATCTGGCATAGTTTCTCACATGTAATAAGATCTCAATGTAAGTTTGTTGAATAAATGAATGAATCAATCAATCTGTTAGCATTGTGATTACCTGGGCTTCATTGAAGAAAATTGAGGTAATCATTATACATCCACATCTGAAAGTCTATAACATATGTAGCAGAACTGAATGATTGATTTGTTCTGCATTCCTAACCTTTGGGTTTGGTAACATAAAGTATTATCAACACAGATTTTGTTATTTTGTTTTTATTATTTATATCCTTCTCTGCCTATTTTCCAATTCATTTGAGGCATCATGCATACAAAGAAAGAGTAAACTGCAACTTGCTGTAAAAAAGCAGGATGAAAGAAAAGGAGACTACAGATTTTCTGTAGAGGTTGTCATTGAGGGTCTCCCTATGTCCGATCCTTCTCCTCAAAATCTGCTCCATCTACATGGTGACTGTGAGAATTGTCATTTTCATATATGTTCTAAATGTATGTCCCCAGCACAGCTAGTGCCTCTTCCACACAATTTTTGCACAAGAAAACCTATACAATAATAGGAAAACTGATTGGAAATAAAATATATAATATGGTTATTTAGAATTCAATGTCTGAGTGGTGTTATAACTGCAGTCATAACTTCGGTTCATTTGTTCCTGAGACCCAGCTGCATTTTGGATATTTAGTATGTCTTTGAATTCCAGAAGCCAATAAATCAGATGAATAGAATGGAGTTGTTTTATTTCTGGAATGAACTATATAACACTATTCTTTCTGTAGATTTGTGGGAAAATTATGTCTTTCTTAAAAAACATATGAAAAACATGTGTACATACATATATGTCCTAAAGAACTGATTTGATAAATTAAATCCAAGTAATACATTCAGATAAGTACATTTGTTTCTTGGTATCCATGGGGGGATTCATTCCAGGACCCTGTAGATAAGAAAATCTGGGAATGCTCAAATCCCCTACATAAAATGGCACAGTATTTGCATGTAACCTATGCAATCCTTTCCTATACTTTAAATTATCTTTAGGTTGTTTTTAATACCTAGTACTATGCCTACACATCACCTCATTTATGTGGATTCAATGTAGTAGGTGGTGCTCCACAAATTCAAGTTTTGTTTTTATGGAACTTTTTTTTTTTTTTTTTGAGACAGGATCTCTCTCTACTGCAGTGGCTCAGTCATGGGTCCCTGCAGCCTCAACAACCTCCTGGGCTCAAGCAATCTTCCCACCTCAGCCTCTCAAGTAGCTAGGACTACAGGCGCACACCACTATGTCTGGCTAATTTTTAGAAACAGGGTTTCACCATATTGCCCAGGCTGGCCTCGAACTCCTGAGCTCAAGCGATCCACCCACCTTGGCTTCCCAAAGTGCTGGGATTACAGGCATGAGCCACTGCACTGGGCTTTGTGGAACTTTTTGCAAGTTTTTTTTCTCCTAATATTTTTGATCCATGGTTGGTTGAATCCATGGATGGGGAACACATGGATATGGAGGGCGAACCCATGGATATGGAGGGCTGACTGTATTCCTGAAAAGAATAAGAATGCTCATGATTAATCCAGCCCTTCAAAAAACAAAAGACAGCCAGCCTAGTGGCTCATGCCTATAATCCCAGAGCTTTGGGAGGCTGAGGAGGGAGGATCGCTTGAGGCCAAGAGTTTGAGGGCACAGTGAGCTATGATCATGCCATTGCACTCCAGCCTGGGTGACAGAGTGAGACCTGTCTCTAAAAGTCATTATTACAACAACAAAATGTCTCATCAAAGATGTAGGAAAATTCAGTGGGTGACAAAAGTGGAAATCAAAATAATGTTTTACCAAAACATTGAATTCAAAACAATTGGTTTATAAATCTTATTTCTCGGGATTTTTTTCCTTTATTGGAAAGTCTCTCTGATTCCTTTCTAGATATTAATTATATTCAGATACAGATGACACCTTATTGTTACAATAGTGGTAACCCCTTACAGAATACAAAAATATATATTCCACTAAAATCATTAAAATTGAGCTCAAGGTATCACTTGGATATCTTAGTGAGACAATTATCCGATGGTAAAAGGCTAAATCTTCATAAAACCTTCTTTGATATAATTATATTACAAAGCAGTAGAATTGTTTCTCCTCTGGCCCTCAACAAATAGAAAGATCCATATTCACGTTGGTTTCTTTGTTGCTTCCTCATAACGATCAGTAGAGAAGACTTCTTGAGGTAGTACATCAATCAAACATATTGACAAAAAAATCAAGTTTCTACATTAGCCCTGAAGTGCATATTGTCTTTCAAGACTTTTGACAGCTTGGCTGCTTTCATTTTCTATCCCCAAACATTCTCTTCCTGGAAAGCATCCCAACTTCTTTAAATAACTGTTCATGGAAAACATTCCTTCTAGCTACAGTGCTACCAAAACACAATTTTTTTCTTATATAAATGGAACAGCTTAATAAATTCAAAAAGGCTACTGGTTTAAATGATAATGAAAAAATTAACCAATATGCCTGGCTCTACTATTCATTTGCTGTGTGATCTTGGGTAAGTTCCTTACACTCTCTGTGTTTTAGTTTCCATATTTGTAAAGTAGAGAGTATTAAGTTAATAAATACCATTAGGAGACAATTGTCTATAGGTCTTTCCCATTTCTACATGACTTATTAGAAAAGGCACTGAATGCCCTTTATTTCAGACTATCTTTTCAAGAATATTTGCATAGCGAACAGCAGTGGAAAATGGAAATAATGTCTTCCTCTGAAGCAAAGAGCAGTCTTGCTTACCACCAATTATAAAAAATTTGGATTCCCTAAACTCAGAGATCACCTACTGAAACACAACCTGCTACATGTACAAGTACCCATCTGGACTGATATGTGATGTCCCTCTGGTACTTTGGGTCAAGAGCAACTAATGCAAACATGCTGATGATCATGCTGCTTGCTGTGTCATGAATAACAAAGTCCTTTATCTCTGACCTAGGAGTTTCAGGTCTCTGCCAGCATCCATGAAACTGTGGCAAGATAACTTCTTAGTTTGCAAGTAAGGTCAACTCTCAGACCCTTTACAGTTCTTGACACATAAAAGACTAAGAGTCTAGAATATGGCTGGGCATGGTGGCTCATGCCTATAATTCCAGCACTTTGGGAGGCTGAGGTGGGCGGATCACCTGAGGTCAGGAGTTCAAGGCCAGCCTGGCCAATATAGTGAAACCCTGTCTCTACTAAAAAAATACAAAAATTAGCCGGGTGTGGTGGTGCGTGCCTGTAGTCCCAATGACTCAGGAGGCTAAGGCAGGAGAATCACTTGAACCCAGGAGGCAGAGGTTGCAGTGAGCCAAGATCACACCACTGCACTCCAGCCTGGGCAACAGAGTGAGACTCCGTCTCAAAAAAATAAATAAATAGAATCTAGAATATAGGAAATGCTCAACAAATAGTAATGTTATTAATATTTATTACTATCAATATTGTGTGGCTTCAAAAATACTAAGCTCTCATCTAGCAATTATAGTTCTGGGAACTTATCTGGCTTAGAGTTACAAGTTATTTTCTTTCTTTTTCCTTTTTTTTTTTTTTTTTTTTTTTGAGATGGGGTTTTGCTCTGTCACCCAGGCTGCAGTGCAGTGGTGCAATCACAGCTCACTGCAGCCTAACTTTCCAGGCTCAAGCGATCCTCCCACCTCAACCTCCTGAGTCGCTAAAACTACAGGCATGAGCCACTGTGTCTGGACACAAGATATCTTTAAAAAGATGGGTATTAATTACAAAATTGTTTATAACAACAAAAAAATTAGAACCAACCTAAATGAACATTCTATAATGCCCTGTATTACATTCTTATAGAACATTCTGTAATTCTTATATTGCCTCAGTAATACTGCCTAACGAAACCACTCTAAAACTCAGTGTCACACACAAATAAACATTTATTCTCATATACTACCTACAAGTTACCTGGGACAGCTCTGCTCCATGTGTCCCTTTCCGGGGCCCAGGCAAATGGGACCTCACTACCTGGGGCATGCTTTTCTTGGCCATGACAGAAGAATAAGATGACAAACGTAACTGCACAGACACATTTCAAGCCTCTGCTTGTGTCACATAATAACATCCTAATGGCTGAAACAAGCAGCATAACTGAGCCCAAAGTCAAGGCAGAGAAAATCACATTGAGGCCACCCATGGCAAGGGTGTTTGATATACTATAGAATACTGAAGAATTAGAATGAATAATTCAATCTACCATACTCATTAACAGGAAAGTGGTTAAGTAATAATAGTATATCCATACTAAACAGCTGTCAGAAAGAATGAGTATATATGAATGTTCTAAAATGGAAAATATTCACAATACATCACTGAATGAAAGAAACAAGTTTAAAATATCTATAATATGATCCTTTTTTATTTTAAAAAATGCACATACACATATTTATTTTATATGCATAGTAAAGAGATAAATACACAAACTGTTAACAGCATTTATCTCTCAGTATTAGAGTTGGGAGATGAAGAAATAACTTCGATTTTATACTTTTATGTACTTTTGTATTATTGGAAAAATTTTTCATATATATGTATTACTTTTTTTTTTTTTTTTTGAGATGGAGTCTTGCTCTGTCACCCAGGCCAGAGTGCAGTGGTGCAATCTCTGCTCACAGCAAGCTCTGCCTCCTGGGTTCACACCATTCTCCTGCCTCAGCCTCCCAAGTAGATGGAACTACAGGCACCCACCACCACGCCTGGCTAATTTTTTTGTATTTTTAGTAGCGATGGGGTTTCACCACGTTAGCCAGGATGGTCTCGATCTCCAGACCTTGTGATCCACCTGCCTCGGCCTCCCAAAGTGTTGGGAATACCGGCGTGAGCCACCGCGCCCAACCATATATGTATTACTTTTGTGATGAAAAAACGAATATAAACAGAACAAACAAACAAATAATAAAAGAAAATGACTGACAGCAATATTTTTCTTTTCCATGTATTTTCTAGTTGATGATACATTTTCCATTCCCTTTTCCCAGCACATGAAATAATAAAGTAACAAATCTAATATCTAGAAGTTTTAAATTTGAGCTTCTGCCCCTGCAAAACTTCATTCTGCTTAAAAAATGATCTACTTTATTCCTCATAATCACCCTTAGAATTGTGGGGTACATCTTAATTCTATTGGGTATCATCAGAAACAGAGCATTCCTAAGAGTATTTGAAGATTTTCTGAGTTTCTTGATAGTTATTTCAAATATGGTATTTTTCTGTTTTAAAAATTCCATTTCTTTCTTTTTAATAGTTTCTATTTCTTAGTTGAGAATGTCTGTCTTTCAATTCATTTAGAGAGTGTTTACCTTTACCTTGTGGAGTATGTTTATAATAGCTGCTTTGGAGTCTTTGTATGATGTTTCCAACATCTAGATCAGGAGTTGGCAAACTACAGCCTATGTGCCAAATCCAAACTGCTGCCTGTTTATGCATGGCCCACGAGCAAAGAATTGTTTTGTTTTCAGTTTTAAATGGTTTGGGGGGAAATCAAAGAAAGACTAATATTTCATGAAACTAAAAATTACATGAAAATCAAATTTTGGTTTCCATAAATATAATTTTTTTGGAACATAGCCATGCTTATTTATTTACATATTGTCTGTGACTTTTTTGTCCTAAATGACAGAGTTGAGTTATTGTGATGGAAACCATTTGGCCCCCATGCCCTAAAATATTCCTTCCATCCAGCTGTTTACAGAAAAAGCTTGCTCCTGATCTGAGTTAGCTCAGGTTTTGCATCTGTTGATTGTCCTGTCCCTTGATAATTGGTCACATTTTCCTGGTTCTTTGTATGTTGAGTAATTTTGGATTGTATCCTGGACATTTTGAATATTATTTAATGACTTCAGGGCCTGTTATATTCCTCTAGAATGTGGATTACTTATTGTTTTAACAGACAATCAACCCAGTTAGATCATACCTCAAGCTCTATTTCAATCTCTGTGGGAAATGGTTCCAATGTCATTTTAGTTTTCAAAGACTTCACTATACTGCTTTACATCTTTTTCATGTATGCTCAGCTCGGGGTGAGCTTGGAACATGTGTTGGTTTATACTCAGAATAAGGGATTTTCTTCTCCAGTTCCCTTCTCTATGATATCTTCCTCCTTCTCTACAACTCCTGAGGGCCCCTCCTTCCAGTCCTCTGGTTAGAAGGATGGGATTTCTCTCATAATTACAGCTACCCATGCTGATGCACAGCTTACACACAATTAGAGTTGCTCTTAAATCAACACCAGCAGAGAGAAGAGGGGCAGAGAAGGAAAACTTACCCAGTACGAGTCATTCACTAAGCTTTGACTCCTTTCCACAATCCACCTGCTATTGTTTTCCAGCATCTTGAGGTAGCTACTTTTTGTGTATTGTCCAGAGTTTTTATTTACATAAGGTTTTGACTCCTGCCAATAATTAAGGGGTTGAAATTTCCAGAAAATAAGCACATCCTAAACAATGTCTTGATAATCCTTATATCACTATTTGGCAATAATTTAGCTCTAAAATCATGGTCTTCTTGGGATTAAGCATATGCAAAAGGCAATATCATGGTGGATTTACAAGGACCAACAATTCCGTTGACTCCTGAGGTTCTTTACTAGAATAGAGTAGGTGGATCAATTCCTATGATAAAACCAAGTTGACCTGAGTAAAGAGGTTTACAGCCTATCAGAAAATGTAAGTATACTCAAAGTATTTATTCTGTTAGATTTAATGCAAGAAGTTGAATGGTAAATGAGGCCAGGACTCTTGTTTGCAAGTGACAAGAAGAAAATAAGAAAATAATTTTTTGCAAGACCAGAGGTGGGGTTAGGGTGGTAGAAAGACTAATGGCTCCCCAAAGATATCCATATCCTAATCCTCAGAATCTGTGAATATGTGTTTTTCATGGCCAAAGGGGATTTGCTCATTAAAATAAAAATCTTGAGATGCAGAGATTATCCTCCGTTACCATGTCCAAATATAATTAAAGGGTCTTTATAGCAGAAAGAAACAGAAAGAGGGAGGCAGGAGTGTCAGAATCATAGAAGGAGATGTGATGATGGAAGCAGAGGTCAGGGAGATGGAGAGAGAGAGAGAAATTTGGAGGTGTTGTACTGCTGGCTTTGAAGATAGAGGAAGGGGCAAGGAGCCAAATAATGTAGATGTCTCTAGAATCTATAAAACGTAAGGAGCCAAATTCTCCTCTAGAATCTCCAGAAGGACCAAGCCCTGCTAACAACTTTCACCTCTCTTCAGCCCTGTGTCCCCAGAGTTAAATGGGGCTTTACCCTTTGGAGCCATTTAGGACAACCTCAGAGGAGGACTTTGGCTCCGGTCAACTGCCCAACCATTGAAACAATCATCTGAATAAATGGGAAAGAACATAATTATAAGCCAGAACCACCTGAGTTACTTGCAGTCCCCCTTGACTAGGGAGAAGGTAATGTAGTTGCAGTTACACTAGAAACACGTGGAAAAAGTAACAAATTTTCCAAAGGAGAGAAGGGTGCTGATCAGCCAAAGAGAAGAAGTCTTCGCCATAGTTGGTCCTTTCACTGATGAGACCCAGCAAGGCCATAGCAATGACAACGTCAACACATATCCCCAAATTTCCATTGAGATTACCAATTTATCATACCATTTCTAACACCATAATCTGTCTCCTCTTCTATCAGCATGTCTGCACTCACTTGTCCGGCTTACCTGCTGCATCATTTAATATTAGATTTTGCTTTGAGTGACAGTAAATGCAAAATAATGATAACTTGAGGTGTGTGTTTATGATGAGAGGGGGAAAACTCAGTGAGGCACTCTTTGTTGGATCTTCTCCCTTCTCTGTTTCACTTTCTCTGCCCCCTTATTTCAGCTGCCTGGGATCATCCCCTAAATAAACAAATTGCATTTCTCTACATAAATGAAATCTGGAGGTAGATAGTTCAGGGCTGGCAGATGCTCTGCAGTGCCAGGGCCCTGGGCATTTTCTATCTTGTTGTTTGCCATCCTTAACAAGTTATTTCAACCTCAGGGTCCAAGATGGCTCCTCAGGCTCTACCCATCATGTCTGTATTCGAGAATGCAAAAAAGAAGGAATAAATAAGAACCTATCTCTTTCCTAAAGATATTTCCTGAAAGTTGAATAGATTCCACTTATCAGAATATAACCACATAGCCACATGTAGCTGTGAGACAGGACAGAAAATGGAGGTACGTTAGTGACAGTGTGCCCAAAATCAGCTTCTGTTACCAAGAAAGAAAGGGGAAATACATATTGGGAACAGCCCAGTGGTGTTGGTCACTTCACCTCCTAGATTCTTTAGGACATTGAATCATGATTGCCTCTACAATTTACCTAATCAGTCAGTTTACTTCTGGTCACATATAAACATCTTCTCCTGGACTCCATAATCTGTTGTTTCTGATGTTGTCATCATGAACATTTAGACACACTGCTGGGTGTGTCAGGCCTAAACTTGGATTGCTAGCTCTCCCCTCTCTCCATCTATGCCCGATTTCTACCATATTGTGTTTTGTGGTTATTAATTCGTGTGAGATAGACAGCTATAAAAATGTAAGGACTCAAAGTAAATATCTATTTCCAAGGATTCTGTTGTCTTTGTATGTCTGCTAACCCTTTTTTGCCTCCCACAGTGTTGTCTTCAAACTCTGGTTTTAAACCATCCTCACCTCATCACCCTCCTCTTCCTTCAATGCCTCCAGTAGGTCCAGGGAGGGAGACAGCGCTAATAACTTTTGTGAAAAGTACATGATTTTCTCTCCCAGAAGGCCCAGAAAACACTTTCTCACATGTTATTGGCTCTGGGTAATAGCTTCAATAAATGACTGACTGGGAGAATTTTGCCTCCTTATTATTTTATTTTATTTTATTTTTGCAATAGGTTCTCATTCTGTTGCCAAGGCTGGAGGGCAGTGGAGTGATCTTAGCTCACCGCAGCCTTCAACTCCAGGGCTCCGGTGATCCTCCTGCCTCAACCTCCCACGTAGTTAGGGCTACAGATACATACCACCATGCCCACCTTACATCTTTAATTATTATCTTCTATTTAGAATATTCCCCTGGCTTTTGATCTTCTGTGTATAGATATGCCCAGACAGCCATTTGTTGGGGGAGGAGGGAGTGGGTAGAAAAGAGCACATAAAAATAAAACAAAAACAATTATTTGACACTGGTTATCAAGCCACCAGCCTGAAAATGAGTGGGGAAAATAACTGAACTAGAGGGAAAAACAATCTGGCTCTGTCAACTTTCTAGCTGTGTGACTTTGGGAAGTCACAATCTGAGACTTAGTTTCTTTATTTGCAATATAAAGGTGTAATAGTTCAAATAATAACTAAGAAAAACTCAAGATTTCCTTTAATTTGCAATATAAATAATTTTCTAAACTGTTTCCACTTCTTTTATCTGTCTATTTTTAGGCACTGTAATTGGATGGTGATCTTCAGTACTTTCCCTGCAGTGGCCATCGGGGATGGTACTGTTGACCTCCATCTTGCAGGGTCCTGGTGGCTTTAAAAATTCTTGTCTTCATTCTTTCTGAACTTTCTGTAGCATGTAACACCATTGACCATCCTTGTTCTTCTGGGCACACTGTGTTTACTTCAGTTTTAAGATAGAGTACTCTACATCAAACACAGATAGACTCCCAACCTCAAAACTGAGCTGAAGCTAGGTTCTCCACTCTAACAAAACTTAATGAGTCTCAGGGCAGATGGAAGCACAGGAGACAACTGGCTACCAGGTATGGTTCTTTTTGTAACCATGGTTCATCCATAGGGATGCTCTTTTGCCTGGTTACCACATATTTCCCTGTGGCAGATGACAGTTTCCTTTACCCCTTATGAGTAGCTTCATGTATGTTCTTGGAGCCCAGGTCTAGGATGGTGAAAAAAATCCCTTCTCATCTGATTTAGGATCCTCCTCTTCCCAAGATGATTGGCAGTGAAAATAACCATGCCCTTCATAACAGCTCACATATCCTCCTCAACATGACACCTCAGAGCACAGCATCCAATATCAATACAGGAGATGCACACCCATAGCAGTAGGATTACAATCTTAAATGTCCCACTTCCAAATAGCAAAGAGACAAAAAACATTTCTTAAACATTTCTCAAACCTGTGTTGTTATATTTTCAATAATATCATATCCTTGACAGCAGCAATTCAGTCCAAGGTGAGCTTTGCTAAACCCAGCCTGGTTCCTTTTATGACTTCTTCTCCCGTGTGAGATGAATAAAGTGTCTGAACATGCTTCCTGCAGTTTTGAGGATTACAGGGCCTTATCTGTAATAACTGTTCAAATGAGAACACAATAATCTCAACAAAACCCAGCAACATTTGCAGGCACAAGGCAGTTTAAATCTACTTACAGAAAACATTTCTCCGAAGAGGACATGGTTTGCAGATATTCAGCTCTGGCTATAGCATAGAAAAAAATTCATGATCACAAATGCAGTTTAGCTTCTTAGAATTCACAACAGACACTTGGGTGTCCCAAACAACACTCTTAGCCCAGGTGATTCCAGCACAGCTATGGCGGACAATTCCAAGCACAGTGCCACATTCGACCTCAAATGTGGGCAGTGGCATCTCTCTGCCTTTCTGCTTCAAGGCTTTCTTTGAAAAACAGAAGGCCACTCAGCCCAACCCAAGCAGATTCAGCTGAAAAGTTCAGGGAAGAGCATAGGAGGAGGCGGCAGTTGCTCCCGGGCCAACCCTTAACCAACTCCAGTTGCCCACAGCTCAGTGAGGCACTCTTTGTTGGCTCTTTTCCCTTCTCTGTTTTACTTTCTCCACCCACTTATTTCAGCTGCCTGGGATCACCTCCTAAATAATCAATCTGCACCCAAGTCCTTTCTCAGATTCAGGTATTGGAAAAACCCAATCACTAAGAACTCCAATATCTACACTGTCTTATATGGGTTCTGGTTTTCTTTTGTGCAATTAAATGTTTTATTTGAGTTTTTTCAAATTAAAACTATAACCCACATCAGAGCTGCATTCAATTCTCAGTGCCTTCCTTTTTTTTTTCTTTTTTTTTTTTTTTTTTTTTTTGAGACGGAGTCTTGCTCTGTCGCCCAGGCTGGAGTGCAGTGGCGCCATCTCGGCTCACTGCAAGCTCCGCCTCCCGGGTTCACGCCATTCTCCTGCCTCAGCCTCCCGAGTAGCTGGGACTGCAGGCGCCCGCCACCACGCCTGGCTAATTTTTTTTGTATTTTTAGTAGAGACGGGGTTTCACCATGTTAGCCACGATGGCAGTGCCTTCCTTCTAACACACAAAGACTGATTGCAGCTCTGAGATGTCACTGAGCCCTATCCTCAACTTTCTACTATTTCCACCAATGCTTAGGAGATCTTAGGCCTGTATTGAGTCAAGACTCAAGCTCAAAAAACCATGTTCAACCTCCCACCAGCTTTTTCTAGAAAGAAGAAGCACATTTGAAAAACATGCCCTAGAAATGGGAGCTTGGTCCTGAGCTGGGGGCAGAGGAAAGGCTGCTTTCCTATTTTACATCTTGCTCCTGCAACAGTCTCTGCCTTCTCCCTGTGCAGTTAATAACTGCATTTTCTGCCAAACTCTATATGAGGTGTGAGCTGACTTAATTCATTAACTGACCACTTATTGCTTGGATCAGACACTATGCTAACTGTGGGGTAGCAAATTAATAAGGCAAAGTTCCAGAAGACAAGGGCCTCGCTGTCTTGTAAGAAAGACTGAAATCCAAACAAGTAAGCCACCTCCTGTGATGGAAGAAAGTCGAGTAGGCTCAGGAGGGGCATCTTATTTGGATAGGGGTCTGAGAAAGTTTTCTGGAGGAAATGGTGTCAGAGTTAAGTGAAAAGCGATGAACAGGAGTTATCCAGTTGAACAAGGGCAGAAAGGGAGCCCCAGGTGGGAGGAACAACCTGTGCAAGTGTGTTTGGTAGTGAGAAAGCAAGGTCCATGTGGGAAACTGAAAGTGCAGTGTGACTAGAGCAGAAATGCTGAGGAATGAAAGTAGGCACTACTTAGATCGAAGTTATGATAAGGAGTCTGAACTTTGTCTTGAAGCTGTCTGAATTTTGTCAGTAAGCTACTGATGTCATTTACTTACAGAATGAAATGGTTAGATTTGTGCTTTAGAGAGATAAATTTGGTAGTCCTATGAGATTGAATTGGAAATAGTAAAGGATAGAGGCAGAGAGACAAATTAAAAGGCTAAGGCAGTGATATGGCAGGCAAATAATTCTAAAGGCCTGAATTTTCATATGGCGTACTTAATTGACACTGAATTTTTGTGTGTGTATGTGTAGAACACCTATTTGAAGTCTATGGTATCTAGTTTGGGAATTGCTGAATGAGGAAGCTATTCAGGAGACAGAAATGATGGTCCACAGAGACTGATTAAATGTAGTAGTGAAGAGGGAAGAATTCAGAATGACTTGGTCAACAGGGTAGAGTATGGAGCCATTTAAGGAGACAAAGAAAAGAGGAAGAGGATGAGATTTGGGGGTATATTTGTTGTCTGTTGCTGTGTAATACATTTTCACAAACTTAGCAGTTTAAACAGCACATTTGTTACCTCACAGGTTTTTTTGGGGGGTGGTCAGGGATCTGGGCATGACTGAGCTGGGTCCTCTGCTTAGCATCTTACAAGGTTGAATCAAAGTGTCGGCCAAGTTGAATTCTCATTGGTTGTTGGCAGAGTTCATGTCCTGTGGTTGTAGAACTGAGGGTCCCTGCTTCTTACTTTAGTTCCTTGAGGCCATGTGCAGTTTCTGAAGATTGGTCACAGTTTCTTGCCACCTGGGCTCTCCCAACATGACTACTTATGTTATTAAGTCAGCAGAGAGAGTCTCTAAAGTGATTCTGCTGGTAAAATGGAATGTTGTATAACATAGTATGACCACAGGAGTGACATCCACTACCTTTGCCATATTCTACTGGTTAGAAGCAAGTCACAGGTCCTGGCCACACTCAAAGGAGGGGGGACGACACCGAGGTGTGAACACAGTGAGGCAGGGATCAAGGGGCTACCTTAGAATCTGTCTACCTCAAGGGGAAAGATGAGTTAAGTTTGGACATTTTGAGTTTCTTGTAACATTCAAATACAGATATCCAGTGGGATATGTGGGTCCAGGACCAAAAAAGAGGCTTAGAGATGGAGCTGTAAGTTCAGAATCCACTTGTAGATCCACAACCGATAGGTGAAGCAGTAGAAGTAGATGAGATTGCCCAGGGAGAGTGTATATAGTGAGAATAATACAGGCATCTGTGCAGATGTAGATGAACTATACTTTCTCTAAACTGGAGGACAGCCAATTTATTCCTTGGCCTTCTCATTTTCAGAGTGAAACAAGATCCACTTCTGTTTTCTCTACACTTATTCCCTTTTAAAATCCTTTATTTTGTTCCCTCCCCTCTGGATTGTCTCTTGTTTCCCTATATTACACTTAAATGAAGGAATTAAAATTAGAGGCAAAGCTATAGTAGCCAAATCAGCTTGACACTGGCATAAGAACAGACACATAGATCATGGAACAAAATAGAGAACGCAGAAATAAATCCAAACATTTATAGCCAACTCATTTACAAAAAAGACATCAAGAACATACAATGGGGAAAGAACAGTGTCTTCAACAAATGATGCAATAAATGGTGCTGGGAAAACTGAATATTCCATATGAAGAAGAATGAAACTAGATCACTGTTTCTTGCCATATCCAGAAATCAATAAAAATGGATTAAAGGCTTAAATCTAAGGCCTGAAACTAGGAAACTACCAGGAAAAAACATTGGAGAAATGCTCCAGTACATTGGTCTAGGCAAATTTTTTTTGTATAAGACCTTAAAAGCATAGGCAATCAAAGCAAAAATGGACAAATAGGATTATATCAAGCTAAAATGCTTCTGCACAGCAAAAAAAAAAAAAATCAACAAAGTAAAGACACAATCCACAGATTGGAAGAAAATATCTTCAAAGTATACTTCTGTCAGGGATTAATAGCCAGAATATATAAGGAGCTCAAACAACTTAATAGCAAAATAATAATAATAATAATCTGATTAAAAATGGGCAAAAGATTTGAATACACATTTTTCAAAAGAAGACAAACAAATGGCCAACACATACATGAAAAAATGCTCAACATCACTGACCATCACAGAAATGCAAATCAAAACCATGAAATATCATCTCACCCCAGTTAAAACGACTTTTATCAAAAAGCAGGGAATAATAAATGCTGGCAAGGATGGGAAGAAAGGGAAACTGTCATAAAACGTTGATAGGAATATAAATTAGTATAGCTACTATGGAAAACTGTGTGGAGGTTCCTTAAAAAACTAAAAATAAAACTACCAGATATTTCAGCAATCCCACTATTGAATATATATCCAAAGAAAATAAATTCAATATGTTAAAGATATCTGCACTCCCATAATTATTGCAGCACTATTAGCAATAGTCAAAATATAAAACCAACCTAAGTGTCCACCAATGGATGAATGGATACAGAAAATGTGGTATATACACATAATGGAATATTATTCAGCCATAATAAAGAATAAAATTCTGTCATTTGCAGCAACATGGGTGGAACTGGGGGTCATTATGTTAAGTGAAATAAATCCAGACAAATTTCACATGTTCTCACTCATATGGGAGCCAAAAAGGTGGATCTCATAAGGCAGTAGATTGGTAATTACCAGAGGCCAGGAAGGGTAGACGGGAGGATGAAGAGAGGTTGATTAATTTCTTTTATCAAATGTACACTTTGGTAGAAGAAATAAAACCTAGTATTTGATAGATCAGTAGGGTGACTATAGTTTACCAGAATCTATTGTGTATTTCAAAATAGTTTAAAAATAATAATTTGAATGCTTCCACCATAAAGAACAGACACATATTTAAGGTAATATATATATCCCAATTGCACTGATTTGATCCTTACAAATTATATGAATGTATTGTTATCATGTGTACCTCAAAAATGTGTACATCCATTATTTATCAATTTTAAAAAAGAAAATTTAAAGGCAGTGCATTAATAAAGGTTCTAATTAATTCCCAATAAAGCAGAACTATCTTCTGGGTATTTTATGATTTTTTTTTTGTTTATGACAATAACATCATTTAAAACTTTTAAACAATCTGTTGTATCCAAAATTGTGTTTCACATATCTTGTACAATATTGCAGGAAGCCAAAGATAATTGAAATTTTACCAAAGTAATTAAAAATCTTGAAACACATCTAATAGTAATTTAAAGGAGTAAGAAGTGAACATGTAGTTATTGACATGTTTAACAAATTAATTTTGGCATCCCTGGTGAAGGGTAATAAATAAGGGAAAAATGTTACTTATACATTCAAAAGATTATCCTGGTTTAGTCTTTCAGATTTGAGAGTCAGAATTTAGAAGAAAAGTATATATTGTATCTGCCATAGAGTTCTATAAATTAGGTAGTAATGTTAGTTCTTTCAGTGTTATACCAAATGATCAAAAAAGCTGAAAAAGAAAGCGCATCAGGGTGATGACTTAGGGGGTATGGGTTTCTTTTTGGGGTGATGAAAATGTGCTAAAATTGATTGTGGTGACGAATGCATAACTCTGAACATAGTAAAGACCATCTAGGCCAGGCGCGGTGGCTCATGCCTATAATCCCAGCACTTTGGGAGGCCAAGGAGGGGGGATCACCTGAGGCTGGGAGTTTGAGATCAGCCTGACCAACATGGAGAAACCCCGTCTCTACTAAAAATACAAAATTAGCCAGGCGTGGTGGTGCACGCCTGTAATCCCAGCTACTCGGAGGCTGAGGCAGGAGAATCGCTTGAACCCAGGAGGCGGAGGTTGTGGTCAGCCGAGATCGCATCATTGCACTCCAGCTTAGGCAACAAGAATGAAACTCCATCTCAAAAAATAAAAAATAAAGAAAAACTAAAGACCATCAAATTGCACACTTTTAATAAGTGAATTATATAGTATTTGAATTATATCTCAATAATTTTTTTTTAAGGCAGGGCAATGGTATTTATGGTATTTATTTGCTAACAGCATTTGTTTCTGCTGTCGTATCTCTGTTTCCCACTAGGGGAAGGTGAAGGATAGAACACTCAGCAATTCTGAAGTTGTTCAATTGACAAGAAGACAAATCTTCTCTTGTCTTGCTACCTCCCTAAAACATCAGAGCAGAAAAACAAGTCTACCCTTTTCTTCAGGGAACTCTGGAATCAATCTCTCTCTCTCTCCATCGCTTTCTCTTTTCTTTTGTTGCCAATGCATAGTAGTAAACAACTGTAGTGTCAGAAATCAAACTTGTAGTTTAATAACTTGGATTTTTAGTTTATGGTTGTATGGAAGGAAGTAGTTAACACATCATTTTAAAATTAAGTTTATAGGCCGGGCGCGGTGGTTCACACCTGTAATCCCAGCACTTTGGGAGGCCGAGGCAGGCGGATCACAAGGTCAGGAGATTGAGACCATCCTGGCTAACATGGTTCTACTAAAAATACAAAAAAAAAAAAAAAAAAAAAATTAGCCGGGCGGGTGGCGGGCACCTGTAGTCCCAGCTACTTGGGAGGCTGAGGCAGGAGAATGGTGTGAACCTGGGAGGTGGAGCTTGCAGTGAGCCAAGATTGTGCCACTGCACTCCAGCCTAGGTTAGAGAGCAAGACTCCGTCTCCAAAAAAAAAAAAAAAAAAAAAAAAATTAAGTTTATGTACTATCTGCTAATATTTGTGTTAATTATGAAAGTACAAAACAATCACATTGATAATTATCTGTTTGCCTTTCCAAATCAATTTTCTGCCCTTCTCTTTCCTGTTCTGTGGTGCAAGAAACTGACCTTTAAGGACAGCATCATATATTATAGGTTCTCCTGGCTTCTGGTTGGTTTTGGTCAATGAAAGGCACAGACAGGAGATCAGAGGAGGAAGGAAAGAGGGCCTGGTATTTATTTTCCTAGCAGGCCTTGGTTTAAGCAGCAAGCGAGATCCTCTAATTTCTCTGCTGAAGTTCTCAGCTCTTTTCTGACTCCTGTACCACTGCTGCAGCCCATGCCAGGCCCTGGGATCATTACTCCCTCCCCTTCCCCCTTCATATTCAGAGGTGGTAAGGGTCTCCCACTGTCATCACTCCTTGGACGTTTTACCATGTCTTCTTGTTCTTTGAAATTGCCAATCTCTATTTAAATAATCCCTTAATTACCCCTCTATTTATTCCATCTCTAATTGACCCTTTGAGTGTGCCATCAGTTTCTTGCTGGGATACTAACTGATTGAACCATAGTATATCTTGTATCTGAATATATGCACATGAAGAAAACTGTTACCAAAATGAAACAAAAAACCCACAAATAAAGGATGGGAATTATATACATCAACTTCAGGGTGTGGTTATTTCTGAGGAAGAGAGGGAAAATGGGAATTAGGACTTTTTAGCTTAGTTCTTTTTAGGACTTTTTCTTGCTTAGTTCTGAAAATAGTATTTAACTTATAAAAAAATGTGAAATAAATATGGCTAATTGTTTGTTTAATCTCAGTCATAGACACCTGCATACCTCTTTTCTATATTTTTGAAAAAGTAAGCAATAAAATTTACCTTATTTTGGATTGAATCTATTTGTAAAAGAATCTATTCTGCATAACAGGTTGGCTGTACAGATGAATGAGAATTTGGTGTACATGGTCTAAGAAAAGGGAAAACAAAGACTGAACATTTAAGGACCTAGACTAGTTGTCCAAAAAAGTAGCCGAGTCTATACATATAACAGAGATAGACTCCTGTTGTTCTCACGAGATAGTGCAAATTCTCTTTCTGGGTTCCTGGAAAAATCTTTTAGGAAAGTGGTCTGCTGCCACCTTAAATGTTCTACACAACCTCTGAGTTCATGTACTTGCATACTATGGCACTTTATGATTCCCTCCCTGGTTCTCAGCCATATTGTTTGTATGGGATGGACCCCACTCCCATCCATAGAGGTAGATCCTGATTGGCATAAACCAAACCAATTAACCTATTTCGGCTTCTTTCCCCTGAGGTGACTGGTTCAGAAATACACACTTAGGCTGGGCACGGTGGATCAAGCTTATAATCCCAACATTTTGGGAGGCTGAGGTGGGAGGATTGCTGGAGACCGGGAGTTCAAGACCAGCCTGAGCAACTGTATTAGTCTGTTTTCATGCTGCTAATAAAGACACACCTGAGACTGGGAAGTAAAAGAGGTTTGATTAGACTTATAGTTCCATATGGCTGGGGAGGCCTCAAATCATGGCAGGAGCTGAAAGGCACTTCTTACTTGGTGGCAGCAAGAGAAAAGGAGGATGAAGCAAAAGTGGAAACCCCTGATAAACCCATCAGATCTCGTAAGACTTATTCACTATCATAAGAATAGCATGGGAAAGACCTGCCCCCATGATTCAATTACCTCCCCCTAGGTCCCTCCCACAACAAGTGGGAATTCTGGGAGACACAATTCAGTTGAAATTTGAATGGGGACACAGCCAAACCATATCAGCAACATAGCCAGAACCCGTCTGATATGGTTTGGCTGTGTCCCATCCAAATCTCAGTTCCCATAATCACCACACGTTGTGGGAAGGATCTGGTGGGAGGTAATTGAATCATGCAGAGGGTGGGGGGGTGGTTATCTCCATGCTGTTCTTGTGGTAGTGAGTGAGTTCTCATGAGATCTGATGGTTTTATAAGGGGGTTTTCCCCTTTGGTCTGCAGTTCTCCTTGCTGCCTCCGTGTGAAGAAGGATGAGTTTTTTCCTCTTCTGCCATGATTGTAGGTTTCCTGAGGCCTCCCCAGCCATGCTGAAGCGTGAGTCAATTAAACCTCTTTCCTTTATAAATTATCCAGTCTCGGGTATGTCTTTATTAGCAGTGTGAGAATGGACTAATACACTGTCTCTACAAAAAATAAAAAAAATTAGCAAGGTGTGGTAGCATGCACCTGTAGTCCCAGCTATTTGGGAGGCTGAGGTGGGAGAATCCCTTGAGCCCAGGAGCAGGAGGCTGCAGTGAGCTATGCCCTCTAGCCTGGGTGACAGAGCAAGACCAGGAAATTCACACTTAATCAGAATCAATAATTGATAGAAGACCTTGTAGGAGCTTCAGTAAAAGAGAGGCTTTCAGTCTTTTTCTGAGATTATGGAAATAAAGGTATGAGGAAGATGGGATTGTTGCAGCCATCTTGCTACCATAACAGCAGACAGCCTGATGAGGAAATCCCAAAGAGGCAGAGTCAACCTAGGTCCTAGTGTTCTAGTTTGACCTAAGTCAGGCTGTGCCTGATGCCAGCCCTAACTGAAGGCTTCAGTTATAGGGCCTACATACTCTTTTTCCTTTTTGCTAAGTTTAGTTTGATAGCTCAGCTGATACAGAGGCACACAGTGCAGTGTGACTCTCGACAAATACCCCTGGGCCAACTGACATGGTAGATTTGCTGAATTAGTTTGTTGATGTTAGGCAAGAATTGTGTTTGGCTGACAGTAACATGGACATCAACAGTGACTTATGTACCCAAGAGTTTATTCTCTCATATGCAATAAGCGCAGAGTTTGGCAGTTCAGACTGGGGTATAGGGGCCCTGCAAAGGCCTAGGCTTATTCTACCTTTTTTGTTTCACTATCCTAGACATAGATTACATTCCCAGTATTAATCTCACAGTCCAATGTACTATTGGACTCCAGCCATTATGTCTGTGTTTGAGGCAGAAGGGAGGAAGGAAAGAGGAAGAAGAGAAGAGTGTACATTCCAGCTAAATCAACATCCTTTAACCATTCTTCCCCAAAGGCCCACCTATTTGCATATTATTGCCCAAAATTTAATATTATAACTGTATCTGGAATATACTTATAAATGTATTATTTTAGATGGTGATATAGCTACATGTGGCAGACTGAATAGTGCCCACCCTAATCCCTGAAACCTGTGAATATGTTATTTTATATGGAAAAGGGGCTTTGCTGGTGTGATCACATTAAGAATCTTGAGATAGGGAGATTGTATTAGTCTATTCTCATGCTGCTAATAAAGACATACCTGAGACTGGGTAATTTATTTATTCATTTATTTTTGAGACAGAGTCTCGCTTTGTTGCCCAGGTTGGAGTGCAATGACACGGTCTCAGTTCACTGCAACCTCCACCTCCCGCGTTCAAGTGATTCTCCTGCCTCAGCCTCCCGAGTATCTGGGACTACAGGTGGGTGCCACCACACCCTGCTAATTTTTTGTATTTTTTTTTTTTTTAGTAGAGACGGGGTTTCACAGTGTTAGCCAGGATGGTCTTGATCTCCTGACCTCGTGATCCACCCACCTTGGCCTTCCAAAGTGCTGAGATTACAGGCGTGAGCCACTGCACCTGGCCAAAACTGGGCAATTTATAAAGAAACAGAGGTTTAATGGACTCACAGTTCCACATGGCTGGGGAGGCCTCATGATCATGGTAGAAGGCGAAGGAGGAGCAAAGGCATATCTTACGTGGTGGCAGGGAAGAGGTCATGTGCAGAGGAACTGCCCTTTATAAAACCATCAGATCTTGTGAAACGTATTCATTACCATGAGAACAGCATGGGAAAAACCTGCCCCCATGATTCAATTACCTCCCACTGGGTCCCTCCCATGACATGTGGGGATTATAAGAGCTAAAATTCAAGATGAGATTTTGGTGGGGACACAGCCAAACCATATCAGAGATTATCTTGAATTATCCAGATGGGGCCATTGTAATCACAAGGATCCTTATAAGACAGAAGAAAGAGGGTTAAAAGCAGAAGAAGGAAATAGAAGTTGGACAATGAAAATAGAGATTGAAAATAGAGGTTGGGGTGATGAGTTTTGAAAATGGAAGAAAGAGTCTCAGGCAAAAGGAGATAGGTGACCTTTAGAAGCTAGAAAGGACAAGGAAATAGAGTCAACAGAAGGTAGACCAGCTGACACCTTGACTTTAGTCCAGTGAAGCTGATTTCAGACTTCTGACTTCCAGGACTGCAAGATTATAAATTTGTGGCTTTTTAAAGCCATCAAATTTATGGTCATTTGTTACAGCAGCTGCAGGAAACTAATGAATTGCACCAGATGAAGTCAATATTCTGTTACCAAGGAAATAGACTCTATCAGTTTCTGCTGGAGTGGTAGGTAAAAAATGTCTGAAGTGTTGTGCATTTCCCAAACTCACTGCTCCTTGGGTGCAGCCAGTTGAGAAGACAATTACCATTACATTCTTCTAACCATAAAAGCGTGGGTCCTCTAGGCCGGGCATGGTGGCTTATCCCAGCACTTTGGGAGGCTGAGACATGCAGATCACGAGGTCAAGAGATTGAGACCATCCTGGCCAATGTGGTGAAACTCTGTCTCCACTAAAAATACAAAAATTAGCTGGGCGTGGTGGCACACGCCAGTAGTCCCAGCTACCTGGGGGGCTGAGGCAGGAGAACTGCTTGAACCCGGGAGGCATAGGTTGCAGTGAGCTGAGATTGCGCCACAGCATTCCAGCCTGGTGACAGAGCAAGACTCTGTCTCAAAAAAAAAAAAAAGTATGGGTCATCTAAAAAGATAATTGCCTTAAGTCAATGCACTTTAATTTGGAACCACATTGGTGGAAAAGTCCCCACATTGTCATTTTCATCAATTCTTTAGCTCATAAGAGGCCTTTTTTTTTTTCTGGTGGTAATGGTGGAGTGAGGAAGAGGAGTAATAGCACCTTATATTTGCCACAGCTTTAGTTAATAAAAGAAAAAAATAAATATTTGCAACTGGATTTCAAGAAGTGGTTAGAGAGCTTATAGTTATATTAGAAAAGCTACCAATGAAAGTCTGATTGTCATGAATACAATGGTTACAAAAAGAGTATTTGGACAATTTTAATCGCAGTGTAATTTTCTAATGTTGTTGATACATACTAAGCATTTTGGAGAAGTTTGCATGTTGAATGTCAATGAAGTCATAATGAACCAGCATTCTTCCCCTAAATGGGAAGGCCAGGAAGGTTTTCCTGTGTCTTTTGACAGCTGAGTGGTAAGACAAAACTTGTTATAAATAAACTAAATGAAAAGAATCAAATGCGTAAAATAATAAACTATTCATTACTAAAAATAATTATATTATGCTCAGAGAAAAACAATATTTTCTTTAAAAGAGTTAAGGCAAAGTGAAAAGAAATTCATTATTGTGAGGTTTCTTTAATGCTCATTAGTTTCATTTCTTGAATGATGTTTAAACAAAGTCCCTCTGGCATGGCAACCGTTGCCAGATAGGGCTTAGCTTCCTAAGGAGTTCATTGAGATAAGAGGCTGCTTTTAATCAACAAGCTAAAGGAACCAGATGTAGCCAGTAGGCTGAGCACACAATATTTGGTCCCACAAGTCAACAGCCAGACAAAATAAACAAAAACCAAAGCGGCCATGGTGCAGATCTCTGTCCATATGCAAAGCTGAGAAAAATGCTGGCTTTCAAATGGGGAGCTGCTGGCACCGTGGTAGTTTCTTAGATGTCCCTCAGGCCTGATTTGATGATTTTCCTCCAATAGTGTGACCCCCTTAGCTTATTTTGGTATAAAGTCAGCTAAATAAGACTACAGGAAAATAGTATTGTGTGTGCATAATTTTATTTTTATAAAATAAAATTAACAAGTTTAACCATCTTTTTTAAAATACAAAGTTCAGTGGCATTAAGTACATTCACATTGTTTTGCAACCATCACCACCATTCAGCTCCAGAACTTTTTCACCTTTCCAAAACAAATCTCTGTATTCATTAAGCAACAACTCCACTTCCGTGCCCCCCGCAAGATCTTAGCAACCACAATTATACTTTCTGTTTCTATAAATTTGGCTACTCTAGGTATCTCATATAAATAGAATCATACAATATTTTTCCTGTTGTGTCTGGCTTATTTCACTTGGACTAATATCGTAGCATGAGTCAAGATTTCCTTCCTTTTTAGGATAAATAATATTCCTTTGTAGGTACATGCCACATTTTATTTGTCCATTCCACTGTTGATGGACATTTGTGTTGTTTCCACCTTTTGGCTGTTATGAATAATGCTGCTGTGAACATTGGCATATAAATATCTGTTCACATAGGAGCATGGTTTTTAACTATGGAAGTTACAATTCACCTGGGACATATTCTCAAAATATGTATGACAAGAAAGTGGGAGGAGACTGTCTTAGTCTGTTTGGGCTGCTATAACAAAATACCATAAACTGGGTAGCTTATAAACAACAGAAATTTATTTCTCACAGTTCTGGAGGCTGAGAAGTCCAAGATCCCATCCCCAGCAGAGCTGGTATCCGGTAAGGACCCATTTCCTGGTTCATAAATGGTATCTTCTAGCTGTGTCTTTGCATGGTGAAAGAGGCAAACAAGATACCTGGGCTTTTTTTTTTTTTTTAAATAAGGGTACCGATTTCATTTATGAGGGCTCTTCCATCATTACCTAATCACCTTCCAAAGGCCCCACCACCTAACACTATCACACTAGGCATTAGGTTTTAATGTAGGAATTTTGGAGGGACCCAAACATTCAGAGCACAGCAGAGACTCTAAGTATAGAGGCTTTGATTCAGTGTGTGTGGTGATTCCAAGGCACACATCTGGTTACAAATCACTGCTCTTATGTATCAAGAAGACATATAAACATATAAATAATGAGATTAAAAATTGAAACACATCAATGGGACTCTCCAGAAATAGCCAAGCTTAGGAAATGATTTCTAAGCATTTTTGTGAATGGGAAAAGAGTGTTATCATCCAGAAAAGTGTTATGTTTCATCTGGAAGATATCCGAAAATGATAAGAGGCTAATGTAAAATAGTTGTAACACTGGATGTTATTACTTGAAATAATGTCACGGAAGAAGCGTTTAGTACTATCAATGAGTATCCCCTTGGAGAAGTTGGGTGGTAGTTTGTCAGTAGGTCTATAGCATTTTCCGAAAGAGAGCAAGCTTTGGTTCTAAAAGTGGTACTGGTAATTTTTAAAAATTTTTCATTGGCTTCCAATATAAATACAAAAGGTAAGCCCCTATTGTAAATGTACGGCTCAATAAAGTTTCACAAATGAATCTACCTGTATAACTAGCACCAAGATTATATAAGGTAACATCACCAGCTTCCCAGAATCCCCTCTCATGGTTCTCTTTCAATCATAACCTCCCCACCCAAGGTAATTGCTATCCTGACCATACAATATATGCTTTTTTGTGTCTTTTTTCGCTCAACATTACGCTTGGGAGATTCAACCATATTGTTTCAGACAATGGTTGTACAGACCTTGACTTAACAATGGTTCTACTTATTATTTTTCCACTTTACCATGGTGCAAAAGCAACATGCATTCAGTATGTACCTCAACTTATGATGCAGTTATATCTGGATAAACTTGTTGTAAGTTGAAAATATTGTAAGTCAAAACCCACTTTCAACTTACAATGGTTTTATTGGAATGTAACCCCATCATAAGTCAAGACGTATTGGTATGTAGTTATAATTTGTTTATCCCTATTACTGTATAGTGTTCCCTGTAGGTACTGTGTTTGCTTTTGTTTTTTGTTTTTTAAATGTAGGCATATACTTGTGTATATAACAGCAATTCATATGTCAACATAAATTCATGGGAAACTCCCTTAAAAATATCCAGCGCCTCTAGTTCTAACTCTGTGCTCAACACGATACAAACATCTGATCTGTTATTTCAGATTCTAAACAGTATTACCCACCAGAAGGGAGAACCCTGGGTGGATGGCCTAATAGTTTTGATGCCAGAGATTTTCTTCTGCAAGTTAATAAATTGAATTTTGGAATTATCACTCAGTGTCCTATGGGTTTGTTTGACATAAATAGATTCCCTATGGTTCCATTATCTCCAGGTAAATTGATAAAATTAAAATTTTTGAACCTTCAAAATGTAAGTAAAAATTCTCAATGAAGCTAGGTCTCAAATGACCTGATGGCAATTGATTTGGTTTGTATTGACTCAAACTCTATTAATCTGAACTGTAAAGACTGTCTACTCTAAATGTACTTCTAACTGTGTCTGAATCTATCATTTCTTGGAGTGTAAATATCCTGAAAAAGAATGTCTGTCAAAAGCTCAGCAGAAAATAGAAGGCATGTTGAGCTGGGATGTTGTACATAATGTCATGAAACATCTATTCGCAGAGGCTTGGGCAGGGTTAAGAAAACTAACAAGGAATGTTGAAGCACCCAGGGATCTGCAACACTGGGATGCTGCTACTATTCATAGGCACAAAGGGAGGAGGGAAGGCAAGGATGTCCCTGGAGTCCAGAGAGGGCTGGGGCAGTGGAAGGGGCATGGACTGACAGGAGGGATGCTGGACCTGCATCACCAAGTCGAGGAGGAAGTTGGGGAGGAAAAAATCACTCTCACTTTTCTTTTCTTTCTTTCTTTCTTTCTTTTTTTTTTTTTTTTGAGACAGAAGCTCACTCTGTTGCCCAGGCTGGAGTGCAGTGGCACGATCTCAGCTCACCACAACCTCTGCCTTCTGGGTTCAAGTGATTCTCCTGCGTCAGCCTCCCAAGTAGCTGGCACTACGGGTGCGTGCCACAATGCCCAGCTGATTTTTGTATTTTTAGTAGAGACAGGGTTTCACCATGTTGGCCAGGATGGTCTCCATCTCTTGACCTTGCGTTCTGCCCGCCTCGGCCTCCCAAAGTGCTGGGATTACAGACATGAGCCACCGCGCCCGGCCACTCTCAGTTTTCTCTCTCCCTCCTCTCCAACCTCCCCCAGTTCCAGAGGGCAAGAGAGCCTGTTGTGCAGTCCATAGTGTCAGCCTTTCAGGACTCAAAGAAGGGCAGGGAAGGGTAGAACATGGGTCCCAGAGAATTGGCTTGGCATAAGAGACAACCAGTGCCAAAGGATAAGTTTTGTGTAGTATAACATTGGCACAGGACATAGGTAAAGAATAACACTAAAAATGACACCATAATTAAAATTCTTAATTTTATATGATTTTTCTAGGACCTCACACTTTAAATTTAGCAATGTATTTTCTATGTTTCTGTTTCAATTTAGCTCTCCTTAGATTAATTGCTGCATCAGCTGTCACCTCTGTGTCCTAAATCACAACATAGACTCCTTGGCCCAAGTTTCAGTAATGATACAGCTTCTGGGAAAGGTCTTTCCTTTGGCCAAAAACTGTAGCATCACCCAGTCTTCTTCTCAACAAACAGAATCAAGTTTTAGGTTAGAATTTGGAGCCAAGGGGAATTGCTGAGTTGATCTGATATATTTTTCTATAAACAAGAAAAAATAGGTAAATTATATTATACATTTTGGATTTTTTAAAGCATTCACTATATGTATATATACACATATATACATATATACACATATGTACATACATACACATATATACACATATACACACACATACACACACACACACACACACACACATATATATATATTTTTTAGACAGACTCTTGCTCTGTCACCCAAGCTGGAGTGCAGTGGCACGATCTCGGCTCACTGCAACCTCCACCTCCCAGGTTCAAGCAATTCTCCTGCCTCTGCCTCCTGAGTAGCTGCGATTCAGGCACCCACCGCCACACGCCTGGCTAATTTTGTATTTTTAGTAGAGACGCGGTTTCACCATGTTGGCCAGGCTGGTCTCGAACTCATGACCTCATGTGACCTCAGCCTCCCAAATTGCTGGAATTACAGGTATAAGCCATCTTGCCCAGCTGATATTTCTTAGATGCATAATTATGCTTAAGAGATTCACCCATATTGTTATAGATGGTAACCAAATATTAGAGGATAATAACCAAAGTATTATCCTCTCAGGGATCTCTTTCTATATGTTTGTTTATTTTGCCTTCTCATCTCAGGAAGTCGTGAAGATATATATTCATTCAAAAAGTGATTTGGGGATTTTCCTATATAAATATTACTGAAAATGCTATAAGGGGGTAGTAGCATCATGAAATATACTAACAAATAAAAACAATAAGAAGGTAAGAAACTTTAAAAAAACGATTTAAACAAATGCAAAAGAAATCTGAGCAAGCGAGTAATTTGAATGAGAGTGAGATTAATTTGAGGTGTCTTCAGGAAAGAAGTAATTTTAAAGCTATCTTAGCTTAACACAAGAGACAATACCCCATGGTAGAAAAACCACTGCACGAGGAGTTCAAAACCTGGTGCTGATCCTGGTAAATGACTTATCCTTTCTGTGCTTCAATTTCCTCACAATTAAGTTAGAATAATAGTGCAACTAATTCCTCAAAAGAGAAATTATATAGTGAACTTACTGAGTTCAATACCCTTTGCCAATAATGCGAGTGTAATATTTTAAAAATACCTCCTGATTTAGTTTCCCTCATTGTTTAGCAGACCTCTTTCCCCATCTTTACCTCCATGGAGGCTTAGCAGTGTGGCTGCGTTTGGGAGGGAACACATGCCATAAAGGCACTGGGAAGCCCAGAGGCTCTGCTTCTGACCAGAGGAAGTCGTAGGTAAACAGGAAGGGGCGGTGAAAGCAAAGACATCTCTTCCAGGTCTCGCAGGTCATGGGATAAGGCAGACAGGAGAGGCCCACCGTGTGGCAGATGTATTCCTCAAAATATATGCCCTTTCTGGGCTTTGGCCCAGAAGAGTGGATATGTTAGGGCAGGGACGCTTGCTTCAGCTTATATTTAAGGGTTAGGAAGGAGACTGCCTTACAGGATGCCCTGTTGCCAACCTGAGAGCAGCTGTAGCCAAGTAAATTCAGGGGTGCAGTGTCATGGTTAGGCAGAGAGAAACTCTGAGTTTAACTTTATTTACTGAGCCCAGGCCATGGAATTGATGGCACATGTGACTAAATGTTAGAGGAAGCTATAGCAGCAGCAGCAGCAGCAGCAGCAGCAGCAACTATGAGGAGGTCAAATCCGCTAGGGAGCAATGCAGGGCCCCGTGCAAGCTGAGAGATCAAACTGTGAGATCAAACTGTGAGTCACAGCAGCCACAGGCGTCAGTTGCTATAAGTGGAATCACCAGGGTGGGACCAGTCAACCTTCTGCAGTCCAGGCAACCCAGATGGCCACTCCCCATGACAGGCCGGCACGCTCAAGGATGCCATGAGGACAGCTGGATCCAGCAACCCAGCCGCTGTCATGCAATCACAGAAGCCACCATTGCCACCTTTCCTCCCAGCCACTAGCTTGAGAGTGGAGACAAATCTGGGAGACTGAGGCTTGCCAAACTAAACAAGTTGAGAATTAATCTAAATAGAATCCTTTAACCATTATATTTTTTCAGCCAACTAATTTTATCAGGTTGGCTTTCTTTTTTTAGATTAAAAAAAAGTTTTTGTTACCAAGCAGGAAAGATGAAATCATACACACAAAACAAAATGAAACATAAGTATTAATAGTAATAATACCTTTGCAGCAGAATCATAACTATATTTACATTAAACTCATATCTTTGTATTAGTCCCTGGAATACTGGAATACTTAACTTTTTTGAATAAATGGATGAATGAAGCTCATAAAAATAATATATTTTTTGGAAACTTGGTATGGGCAAATACTACTGTAAAGAATCTTAAAAACAAGGTGATGGTGGACAGAATCTCTGATACAGTCAGCACCTTTGTACTTACTGTTTCCCTTCTCCTTCTCCTTCTCCTCCTTCTTCTCCTTCTCCTTCTTCTTTTTTTTGAGAAAGTCTTCTTCTGTTCCCCAAGCTGGAGTACAGTAGTGACATGATCGTAGCACACTGCAGCCTGGACCTCCCAGGGTTAAGTAATCTCCTCACCTAGCCCCCTGGACTCAAATGATCCTCCCATCTTGCTCTCCCAAACTGTTGGCATTACAGGCATGAGCCACTGCACCTGGCCTGTTTCTCCTTCTTAGAATGCTCTCCCCCCACATGACTGCTTGTTTGGTTCTTTTTCTCCGGTCTTTATTTAAAAGTCATCTTCTCAGGGAGGGTGTTTACTATCTAATATTCCAACCCCTTGAAAACTTTCTATCTCTATCTTCTTTTCTTATACTTATGTGAACATAATTTACATTTTTAGATTTATTTGTGCTTAGGATCAGTAACACTAGCAGTTCTGACAACTAACTCCTAAATATGAGTGATTTAACATGAGAAATGGTTATTTCTTATTCATGTAACAAGTCTAGGGGTAAGTGGAGCTATTCTCTTGGGTAGCTCTTTTCCAAGTGGAACTCAGAAAGCCAGACTTTCATGTTGCAGTGCTGCTATCTTTCAAAATGTGGCCTTTCATGGTCTCTAGGGAAGGGGAAAAGGGAGACAGAGAAGGCACGTTATGTAATTCACCATCTCGGCCCAGATGTGACCCATATTAGTTCTGCTCACATTTCATTGGATAGTTAGTCACATTGCCATTTAACACAAGGAAGCCTCGGAAACATATAGAAGGACATAGTTACTGGTAAAGACCAATATATTGCCTTCTGGTCACCAAATATCCATTTTAGGCAGACAAATGAGTGAAGTCTCTGAGTGTGGGTGACATCTAAGTAGCTTAACACTTTCTTTCTTGCTCACATTACAGGACCCCACCAAATGATGGCTCAGGGATCCAGTCTCCTTCCATTTTGTGAGGATACCTTTTCAACACATGGCCCCTGTGGTTTCCAGTGAAGGCAAAGAGAATGAGAGAAGTCACACTATATTCTTAATCTTCACAGCCACAAGTGAGCCCCATCAAAACTCCTTAAGTTCTATTTGCCAGAAGTAGTCACATGGCTATCCTAATTGCAAACGAGGATGGAAAATGTAGAAGAGCATATGGATTTTGTAAACACTGATACTCTGCCACATGTTGCTTATTATTTGATCTCTGCTTCCCTATCCCACTAGAAAATCAGCATCACAAGGGCAGGGATTTTTGTCTATTCCCTTCACCTCTGCATCCTCAATAGTTAGAAGAGATCCTTTCTCATTAGTAAGTGGTTATTAAATATTTACTTAAAGGATATGTGAAATGGAGAACCCAGAGATTCTCATCATTGGTAATGAGTGAGAACTGGAAGACAGAAAGAAAGGATACTGAGCAACCAAAATAGATATCACGAAATTTATGCACCAAAGTTCATGTCCATTATCCACTGAACCTCCTCCCTCCCACAAGCCATTTTAGACAAAGTTCTAATATTTATTTAGTCTATCAATTCCATATAAAACCACAAGCAGGAAATTAGAATGAGATAAGAAAGATTATCAAGAAAGGAAAAAAATGAGCGGTGACAGGAAAAAAATGCGAGGTCCTAGAGAAAAAGTTACTCTTAAAGTACCACAATAACAAAAAAACCGATAGAAGCCTGAGGCCATTTAGTCTAAGGGCAAGACCACTTCTACATAGAAGCTTCTAAGAGTATCCCTGAATTAGAGCATGATAAATAAATCATAGCCACTATGAAAATAATGAGTCAATTATCTTTAGTATACTTTCTTTAAAAAGGCAGAAAAGTCATAATACATCTAAGAATATATTTTGGCATTCAAATGGATATCCTTTGGTCATTCTACAAATTCCCTGGCTGTAACTATTAATTCATTCTCTTAGGATTGTTGACAGATAAAATACTACAGAAATGACTGTCTCAAGGCAATATTGTGCTTAAGTTAGTCACCTCTTCAGTTGGAATCTCCCACTTTTTTTGAGATGGAGTCTCACTTTGTCACCCAGGCTGGAGTGCAGTGGTGTGATCTTGGCTCACTGCATCCTCTGCTTCCCAGGTTCAAGAGATTCTCCTACCTCAGCCTCCGGAGTAGCTGGGATTACAGGCACCCATCACCACATCTGGCTAATTTCTGTATTTTTAGAAGAGACTGGGTTCCACCACGTTGGCTAGGCTGGTCTTGAACTCCTGACCTCAAGTGATCCACCTGCCTCGGCCTCCCAAAGTGCTGTGATTACAGGCGTGAGCTACGGTGCCTGGCCTGGAAGCTCCCGTTCTTTGAATACTACACAGATTAGGTCACACTGAGGACAGATTCAGGTTCTGTGGAGACTGATGATTATACAATTCAGGACACTTCTTCCCTCCCTCTCCCCATCCCCTCCCCCTCCTCTCTCCATCCCCTCCCCCTCCCCTTCCTCTCCCCTTCCCTTTCCCTCCCCTTCCCCTTTCCCTCCCCTTCTCCTCCCCTTCCCCTCCCCTTCCCCTCCTCCCCTCCCCTTCCTTTCCCCCCTTCCCCTTCCCCTCCCCTTCCCCTCCTCCCCTCCCCTTCCCTTCCCCCCTTCCCCTCTTACCCTCCCCTTCCCTTCCCCCCTTCCCCTTCCCCTCCCCTTCCCCTCCTCCCTTCCCCTTCCCTTCCCCCCTTCCCCTCTTACCCTCCCCTTCCCTTCCCCCCTTCCCCTTCCCCTCCCCTTCCCCTCCTCCCTTCCCCTTCCCTTCCCCCCTTCCCCTCTCTTTCCCCTCTCGCCCCCACCTTTCCCTCCCCCTCCCCTCCCTTTCCTTCCCTTTCCTTCCTTCCCTTCCCTTCTTTTCTTTTTTCTTTTTTCGAGACAGAGTTTCGCTCTTGTTGCCCAGGCTGGAGTGCAATGGCATGATCTCGGCTCACGGCAACCTCTGCCTCCCAGGTTCAAGCAATTCTCCTGCCTCAGCCTCCTGAGTACCTGGGATTACAGGTGCCTGCCACCACACCCAGCTGATTTTTCGTATTTTTAGTAGAGACAGTTTTCACCATGTTGGCCAGACTGGTCTTGAACTCCCAATTCAAGACACTTTTTAAGAAAAAAAAAATACACATTATACATACAAAATGAGGTACTGAAAAGAATATATATCCAGAATTAAAAAAATCACAACAATTCGCACATTCAAAAAATCTTATAAGGCTGGGCATGGTGACTCACGCCTGTAATCCCAGCACTTTGGGAAGCCGAGGCCGGTGAATCACTTGAGGTCAGGAGTTTGAGACCAGCCTGGCCAACATGGTTGAACCCCGTCTCTACTAAAAATACAGAAATTAGCCAGATGTGATGGTGGGTTCCTGTAATCCCACCTACTCTGGAGGCTAAGGCAGGAGAACTGCTTGAACCTGGGAGGCGGAGGTTGCAGTGAGCCAAGACCGCGCCACTGCACCCCAGCCTAGGCGACAGTGACACTCCATCTCAAAAAAAAAAAACCAAACAGCAACAACAACAACAACAACAAAACAACCTTACAAGTATTAGATCACCAAATACAGAAAAATACCACGATCTTTAAATTAATTAACTGCCTGACATACCTCTGTGATATGTCTTTCCTACGTATTTTGGCTTTATACTCTTTGATTTATTCTTCATATGAAAATGATTTTGTGACATTATGTTCTATAGAGTTAATAGATATTCCAGTGTTTTCACTAGTAAAGTTGACTAAAATTTGTTTTTATTACTGATAGTTTAGAGGAGTTTCTTTTCAGTCCACAATGCATTATTGGGAAAGTAACATATTTTTAGGATTGTTTCAAAATTTAGGAAAATCACTATTAAATTTATTTCACATATAAACAATAAGATGTGGGAGGGTTTTCCATATTCTAGTTCTGAATCCGTACATACATTTCAAACATCATTTACCCCGTTACCCATATACTTCTGTGCTGGGTGCTGAAGTATGCAGTTATTAATACTTGGTGGTATAATTTCCATCCCTTTACCTTTGTGTCACAACACTGAAGGGCCCAAGTGACTGTCTTTGCACAGTCAAAATAGACATCACTGTCACAACTTTAATGCCCACAGACCACATAAATGTATTCCACTTAACCAATTCAACTTCCCTTTAGCCAGATCCCCACAAATGTCCACAATCACTCCACTTCTTTCGGAACAAGGGGAATTAGGACAACACGGAAGTTAGAATGAAAAGGGACAGCAGTCTTGTCTTAATTCAAGCTGCAATAACAAAGCATCCTAGACTGGGTGGCTTATGAACAACAGAAATTTATTTTTCACAGTTCTGGACGCCAGAAGAATGAGATCAGGGTGCCAGTGTGGTTGTGATGTGGGTGGGAAGGCCCTCTTCCAGTTGCAGACTGCCATCTTTTCTTTGTATCCTCAAGAGGCAGAAAGAGGGTGAGAGAGCTCTCTTGGGTTTCTTTTATAAGGGCATTTATTCCATCACCTCCCAAAGGCCCCACCTCCTAATACCATCACATTAGGGGTTAGGATTTCAACACATGAATTTGGGGGAGCACAAACATTCAGTCCACTGCAAATCGCTTGAGATTAAAATATCTTACTTTGGAAGCTTTTATAAAAATATAAGACCACATGAACATGTCTCTCAGGCTCCTTCTGTGTTGTTGGAAGAGGGCTGGAGTATAAGTTTCTTGGAATCTGCCTTTGGGTTTAGCTTTGGCCATATGCTTTAGAAGGAGCAGTCACAAACCTTGGCACATCTGTAGAAAGGAAGTAACCTAGGATGATGAAGGGTCAGGACACATTGCCATGTGTCCTGCATGACTTATGGGTCATGCAAAGATCTTGGAAAAGAGACAATTCAAGTGGTTCACAAGTTTGTCTTCAGTGCTTGGAGTACTCTCAGGTGGAAGAAATATTTCAACTCAATATAAGGGATCACTTCCTAATGTCAGGCCAGTTTCAATGCAGAATTGACCAGCTTGTAAAGTACTGAGTTCTCTTTAAGGGAATGGCTCCAGGAGAGGATAAGTGAGACCCGGTCAGAGATCTTGTGAAGGAGAGTGGTGGTGATGACGAACGGGGAGTGCAGTGTGAAAGAACCTACCTAATCTTTACACACCTTTGCAAGTTTGAGATTTTTAGGATGACTTTGCTATTAATGTTCTTTGATGCCTTAGTCTCGGTTTTAATGGTCGATATGTAGAAAGTTTTAAAGGTAGTAGGGGCTGCTTTTAAAGTGAGAGAAAAATGTTTTTTAAGACCTAGGGCAGCAATAGTGATTCACTTTGCCTCTATTCATTTTTAGGGTTCTTCTTTCTCCCTCCTTTCCTCCCTTCCTCCCTTCCTCCTCTTTTCTTTTCTTTCTTTTTCTGTTTTTCTTTTCTTTCTTTCTTTTTCCTCCTCCTCCTCCTTCTTCTTCCTCTTCCTCTTCTTTTTTGACAAGGTGACAGGGTCTTGCTCTGTCTTCAAGCTGGAGTGCAGTGGTGCAATCACAGCTCATTGCAGTCTTGAAATCCTGGGCTCAACTGATCTTCCTGCCTCAGCCTCCAGAGTAACTGCGATTACAGGTTCAGGCCACCATGCCTGGCTATTTTTATTTTTATTTCTTTCTTTATTTAATGTATTATACTTTAAGTTCTGGGATATATGTGCAGAACGTGGAGGTTTGTTACATAGGTATACACGTGCCATGGTGGTTTGCTGCACCCATCAACCCATCATCTACATTAGGTATTTCTCCTAATGAGATCCCTCCCCTAGCCCCACAACCCCCGATAGGCCCCTCCTCCCTGATGTGATGTTCTCCTCCCTGTGTTCATGTGTTCTCATTGTTCAGCTCCCACTTATGAGTGAGAAAACGCAGTGTTTGGTTTTCTGTTCCTGTGTTAGTGGGGTCTCACTATGTTGCCCAGATTGGTCTTAAACTCCTGGCTTCAAGAGATCCTCCTGCCTCAGGCATGATTACAGGTGTGAGCCACTGCACCTGGCCCATTTTGACTAGAATGTAACATAGTGGTTAATCAACACAAAGAAGCTAAGGATTGCAGGTGTGGGGTTGCTGGATTTGAGTAAGTTGTGAAGGAGAACATCATGTGGGAACAAACCTCTAGGATCCCTGTTCTTCCAGCAAGAACTGGAATTGGGCCTTTTGTGGGGTGGGGCTCTTTGATTCTGTGGAGGATCCTAACAGTGATGCCTGGGCTGATAGATCCAGGGGACTAAGAAGTCAGGGCTCCTCTGAGACATGTGACAAAACACAGCTGACACTGACTTGAAATAAAAGAGAGAGGATTTATTGGCTTCAAGGGTAGAGTTCACTGCAGACACATCTACCTCCTGAGGTTCCTGAGAGGGTGGGACATCACCCTCTCACCAGCAGCTTTTCTTCCCTCAAAGTTGGCTTCATTGGCATGCACTGTTGGTCCTTGTTACCGTAGGCTTATATCCTTCCAATTTAGTTATCCTAGTTTAAAGAGCTTATTTTTCTGCAGTAATACATCCAAAGCCCTAGGCCGAGTTCCTGGATCAACATGCCCAACCCAGAACCGATCACTGCGGTCCGGAAGATGACTGGCTAGTTCTGGGGGTTGAGGGTGGGAGGTGTCAGTACCCTGGAGCCACAAAGACTCATTGTGGGTGAGGGGGAAGGGCAGTTCCCATAGGAATAATGAACTGCTGTTACCAGAAAAGGCGGAGAAATGGATAATATTGAGCACACACTCAAAAGTCCCAAAGGAATGGCTATCCATTATTTGGGGACTTACTCCATATGGATATAGTTAAATTGTAAAATTGAATAAATCTTCCCTAAATCTGGACAGATGCAAGGGTGGGTGGGGAGGGACACAATATATTTACACTTTAGCATTTTTACTTTTTCTCCTACGTGGGACTGGTTGATGAAGATGCTATAGAAGTAAACAGAAAGCCGAAAGTATTAATACAGTAATTTTAAATTTTAGTGCCCTCTTTAGGCAAAGTATCTGGGAACGCTTTCAATAATCCATTTTTTCATCGTGACCACACCCTGTGTGTGCGACATGAGTATTACCGTCTTGCCCTTGCAGTTGGGGAAACCGAGGCATGACACTCCCCTATTCAGCTTTCTGGTGGGGTTGAGGAACAGTGTTGTCTGCACGACCTCAGAGGGTCTCCTCCACCCTCCGCGACACCTCTAGGAATCCTCCTGTCCTTCGACTTCGCAGAAGGAGAGCAACTCAGGCTCCGCCGCAGCCTCGGGACTCGTCCTCCGCCCAGCCGCACCCGCCCCGTTCTTCCGCACCTTCCTCAGGGAGGTCCCGCTGGCCAAGGTCTGGCTGTCCCTCCTGTCCTCTGCCCCCGCCTCCCTTCCACCGGTCCCCGACGTGCCGCCAGCTCCCAGCCCAGCGTCCCGCAGGGCGGTGCGGGCAGATGCCGCCGAAGCGTCTAGCGGGAAGGGCGCCGGCGCGGCTGGAGGTGAGGAGGCCGGACTCTTCGCTCTCCGCGGACCGGGGCACCGCGGCTGGAGCGGACGCCCGGCACCCGGGCGGGAGGAAGGTGGCGGCAGGGAGCGGCGAGAGGGTGGCGACGCAGGCGGGTCGGCGCCTGGAGAGCGAGCGGCGGGGAGCCGGGCGCTGCGGGGCCGCTCGGGGCCGCGCCGCGCTCGGCCACAAACCTCCCGGAGGCGCAGGACCCCCGGCGCCCTCCCGAGCGCGGGCGGGAGCCATGGCTTCGCGCGTCCCCGCTGCCGCTGCTGACTCGACACAATCGGCGGGTCGCGCGGGGGCCGTGGCGTAACCCGGGGGTGGGTGGCGGCGCGGAGCCGCCTCGAGAGCTCTGGGTGTCGCTGGGAGCTAGGAAGATGCCAGCACAAAGGCGAGCCGAGACCCAGCCCGCTGCGGAGGGCGGCGGGAAGAGCCGCTGAGGGGCGCGCCGAGCGCGCTCTGCCCCTGCGCCGCGTCTCTCCGGGCGCTTCTCGCGGTCTCGGGGTCGGGGACTGCAGCGCAGAGACTCTCGGCTCCGTGGCAGCGGCCGCAGCAGCCGTGAGCTGCATGCAACGCGCGGCGGCGCCCCCGGCCGCCTGCTTTCTCCTCGGCGCGCACGGACCGGCCGCAGGGCGCCGGGGCCGCGGGTCCGGGCGACTTTGGGGGCGCCCTCCCGCCCCGCGGCCGGGTCCCCACCCGCAGCTTGTGGCGACGGGCGCAAAGCCCAGGTGAGCGCGCGGCCCTCGCCGCAGGTAGCGGACGGCGGGAGGTGGCTTTGTTTTTCCTCCCTTGCGCCCCGGCGCGGTCATTCATTTGCCATTTCGGTTTCCGCTGCCCAGGATGTGTTGGATGGTTTGGTTCTCCAGGGAAACTGGGACTTTGGGGTCTATTTGAGCATCAGTTGAGGGAGAGGACGCTTCATTTCCTTTTTGGTTGGGAATGTGCCGTGAACATCCTCTGCTGGAGCTTGGGGCCTGGAGCAAACTGGGGCTGCAGATTTAGACGTAGACGTTTCCGAGGACGCGAGACTGCAGAGGTCTGACTCTCTCATGCCTTGTCTTCACTATTAGCAGCGCTCGGGTGCTTTTCGTCGTTTATTATTATTAATTTAGAGAACATCTTTACAGGCACATTTCTTTTAGAGTTAGAAGTCTTTGGAGTCAGTACAGAGAGCTCACAATTAGAGTTACAAGGGTTCAATCGATATTAAACTTCAGGAAGGAAAACATTTGTGATCATTACAGATAGAGGTGGACAGCATGCAAACTTCGGGGGCCTTTAGCTTTTGGGTTATGATTTCTGCTTTCACTGTCCTAGACTCACGCAAACTGTTTTCGTATATATATACCTTTGTGAAAGTGTGAAACTTGTCTTTTCTGGAGTAGTGTTCTATAGTTTGTCATTTAGAAGAAGAATATTTTAGTGTAATTAGTAGAGCTCTCCATGTGTTTGTCTTATAAATATGATTTTCTTTTTACTATTTCTCCTATTCCCTCGAGGGTTCATTTCTTCTGTTGCTTTGAGAGAGCTTTTTTTCTTTCTCTTCCCAACAGATGGCTGTATGTTCCAAGAGGTTATCTTTAAAATGACACACACATTATCTACAAAGAAAGAAAGATCAGTTATTGACTTTATCTTTGGAGTTATTAAAATAAAAGGCCTAATCTGGATGGGGATATTATTAATGGCGTGAAAATCTGGAGTTTGCTAATCTGTTTGGTCATCAGAAGATTCCTGCGGGGATTGTTTATATAGCGTGGGAGACAGATGGCATCCCTAGCAGACTAGAGAAGCCAGGCATAAAGGGTCATTGTATTCTTCAGAAATTATCCACTTCACTATTAGAGGTGGGGTAGGGTGGGGTGGAGGGTGGCAAAGACATTTTGATCTCTTAAAGGAGACACTGTAACGTTACTATCCAGCAGTCTAACCAGCTTTAATTTTTCTTTTTGTTGAACATTCAAAAAGTCCCAATTGAGCTATTTGTTTTGATTATTTCATTGGCACATTTTGGCTTCGATGTGGTTGTGTGAAGCAGTTTATTAACAAAAATGTCTTTGAACTTAAAAATAATCGTGCTGCTTCTGGGGGAAAATCAGTTGCACCTTTCTTAGCTCTTGTATATAAATGGCCCCTTGGACTCAAACCGTCTTCTGGCTGGAAAGACTTTAGTCTTCATTAGTTTGAATCCAGTTTCCTTCACCATCTCCGTGACAGGTGATTTCCAAATCCCCACCATTTGGCCGCAGACTCTGAGGTTTGGGCACCATGATGATTTCCCAGTCTAAGACATTCGCTTCACCATCGCCTCTATCACGGTATTGGGCAACATTTGGCAATGAATCTTTATGAATGGCTGTGGTGTCGGTAAAGAAATCAAAATCATTCTGAACATTTGAGATAAACCAGCTGGAGCTTTTCTGCGCCTACCACTGTTGTGGATTATCTATGTGTTGTGTAGATTGCAACCAGATCACAAAGCTAGTTTTCCCTCTTTATGAATGTGAAGGAAAATATTCCAGTAAATTAACATTTGCCAGCCACAGGACTAAATTTAATGAAGATTATGAGCAATGTTTGACCCCTCTGAACAGGAGACAAAAAATAAAAGTAAGCACTGGTTCTGTTTCACTTGGGCAATGTGATCTTGGGAGAAAAACCTATATTTTCTTACTCTTTTAAAAGGCTTTTGCAACACTGATTTCAGCCAAAGGCAAAGAAACCAAGGTTGTTACCTGTAGTTGAGGACAGATGCTTTGGCGTTTTCTCCTAGATGAATGTGTTTTGCAGGAGAGGTGGCTTTTGGGATCTTCCCAGTTTTAATATGTGCCTACACATCAATGAAATGATCTTGCATTCAAAATGCTTGTTAAGTCTATATGGTTGGTATCTGTGTAACCTCTAACCAGGTGGCTTTCTCTGTTGTGAAGTGTTCCTTTAAGAGAAACCAGAGGCTTCTCGCCTGGGGCTTGCTGTGGGCCTGGCCTGGATCCACATTCTTGTGCATTGCTGACTACTTTCTTGGGAAAAACTGGAACCAGTTTTGCTTGGTGTGTTGGATAGGGAATGGCAGCATTGGGTGAAAACCTTTCCAGCTCTGTTATCAAAAGCCAGGCCTGGCCTGAAAGAGGGAGGACTATGTTTGAAGTTTGATTGATTTAACAGAGGCAGAGGTTGCTTCATTACACACAGGATGCCTTTTGTATCAGGATATGAATGAGAGATTAGAAAGGTGACGAGATGCCCTGCTTTGCTTGTGACAGTGCCAGTTTACTCCTGTTGGTTTATCTTAATTATCAAAAGCACCCCCTTTCACATGTAAAAGTGTCCTGGTTTGGGTGATAATTATCTGGTCACCCTAGATATTAAGGAATCCTGAATTTTTTTCATCACCCCTCTTCCGACACCAGATTTTGAGTCTTGCCTTATTTCAGTCTTTTATTTATTAAATGCAAAGCTAGAAAATCAGAAAAATTTAAACCTGAAAAATATATAAGAAAAAATGAAATAGGAGGAAGGAAGATAGGAGAATGAGATAATTGCTTGTCATCTATTTACACACATAGTGAATAAAATAGTTTTATTCTTAAGTTACTAAGCATCTGCCGTGGCTGTAAGCCCATATTATTATTGTCTTCAAGCACAATATGAATTAACACCTGTCCATATATCTAGAGCTGACACTAATTGGGACAAATCCTTTGATTTGGGAGAGCAGTTTCTACAAAACCTGTTTGCAGACCTAGTGGTTACCATGGCTCTTAGAGGTAGGAATGCAAGTTTCAAGATCTAGTGTCTGGTCCAGATCTTGGATATTTACTGAGATTCCAGAACACAAGTGTTGTTGTGAAGACTTGATTCCACATTCTCTTAGTTTCCAAGCTCTCAGGGCCATGAGGATAATAGGAGGGCTTTTGTTTTCTGTACTCCCTTGTGTCTCCAGTGTTTGGTTTGGGTCTCAGCTTTTCATACAGAGGGGTCGCAGAGAGGGAGAACTGTTGTGTCTGTTCACCACATGAAAATTCTCTTGGGGGTTTGAGATTGTGCAGGTGACCTGGCAAGGGTTTGGATTCTTTACCCAACTTAGATATATGAAGTTTGTGGCATTTGCTTCTGCAGTAGTTGCTATGCTCCTTTACCAAAGAATTGTGTGTTTGTAACACAGCTCACTTACTATGTTGGCCAGTGGATGTTATAATTAATTATGGCTGTCACCTTTCCCAAACTCACTCCACTGAAGTCCTCAAAAGCTTGGTCAGCATGTCTAAATAAGAAGAAATTTATTTATTTATTTATTTTTTGAGACAGGGTCTCACTCCGTTGCCCAGACTGGAGTGCAGTGGTGCAATCTTGGCTCACCGCATCCTCCGCCTCCTGGGTTTAAGCGATTCTCATGCCTCCGTCTCCCAAGTAGCTGGGATTACAGGCACGCACCACTACCATCAGCAAATTTTTGTGTTTTTAGTAGAGACAGGATTTCACCATGTTGGCCAGGCTGGTCTTGAACTCCTGACAAATGATCCACCCTCCTCGGCCTCCCAAAGTGTTGGGATTACAGGTGTGAGCCACCGTGACCGGCCTATGTATCTTTTTTATAAGTAGGATGACTATGTAATTTAAAAAAATCCAGACAAGGACACTTTTGAGAGTAAAATATGGTACTAACTGGAAGGGGCATTAGATCAACAAGTATAAACTGAGACTGTGCCAGGAAAACTAGGATTTATGGCTGTTCTAACTATGACTCAAGTGATAAGCTTGTATATGTATTATATCCATATGATGAGAAATGTCCTTAGCTTCTTCTAGTCTTGTTCAACGTATATGTGTGTGTGTGTGTATGCAATGTATGTATAGATAAACATTGATAATGTATCTATGGATATGTGAATTGTAGGTTTGAAATAAACCACTTAAGAAGTCCTGGTAATTGGAAATTTATGCCCTTCCTTATCTCTTTCATTGGTTGACTTTTTAACTAAACTCTTTGGATCTAGCCTCTCCAAACTTTAAATCATCTCCTGACCTTGTCTATTTTAATACCATTCTATTGATATAATTCTTTTGCTTAAAAACCTCTGATGGCTTATCATTTTCTTTTTAATTCTCAAAGTAAGATCCATAGGCAGTTTGGTGGTTAGAAGGGAAAAGCAATGAAAAAATTTAATTCATTCATCCATTCATTTATTTGTTCATTCAAGTAATATGTATTGAGCTCCATCTGCGGGTTAGTATCTGATCTAGGTGCTGGGAATATATCAATGAATAAAACAAAGATCTCTGACCTTGTAGAGTTTTCATTCTGTTGGGGGCAGGCAGGTGGGAGGTGGGAGACAGATAATAAACCAAATAACTAAATTATATATGATGCTAGAAGGAGATGAGTGCTTTGGAAGAAAGAGAAAGTAGGACAGGGTAAGTGTGGTTGAGTAGGCTTCATGGAGAAAGAGACCTTAAGCAAAGAGTTAACGGAAGGTAAGAGAAGTTGCTTAATACAAATACCTGAGGGATAGAGTTGCAGGATGGCCAGTGCAAAGGCCCTGAGAAAAGAATGTGTTTGGATATGTTCAAAGATTTGCAAGATCAGCATGATGGGGTGGAATGACAAGGGGGAAGTCAGAAATGAGACCAGAAGGGTGGTGTGGGTGTTGCAAAGCCTGTAGGGCCTTGAGATAGGCCATTTAATTATGATTTCAGCAGACATCCCCTTATGTTCTTAAAACTTATTATAATATTTAAGATTGTATTTGTGCTGCAAAGACTGCACTGGTGAGTGCGTATAGCTTACATTTTGTTAATGGTCCACTTCATGTTTGTTAATATAATTTTTATATCATTTACTTATTTTTTATTTGTTAAAAGAATATTTTTTGTTTTTGCTGTTCTTAAATTGTATTCCCATTTCACAAAACTAGATAAGTGGTTCAAAAGTAGTTCATTGAAGTGTAAAAATAGTGATGAAAATAGTACTGTAAATGCTACATTTCAGAATACCATAAACATACTTAGAGAACTGAATCCCACTGCATATAAAATGGGAATATGTATGTATAGAGACAAGGGAATCTCTGAGAGTGACAATTTCAGAACAGTAGCTGAAATTGAAAAGTGCAAATGGAAATATGACAATGACTATCTCAAAACTATTTTTTATTGGACTTGCTATCCCCATTAGGACCAAATGAATCCGTAATCGTTGCCTGTTATGAAACTTTGTCCAATAGTGGCATGAAGCCATGGATGTTTTTGTGTCATTTTCGAACAAAGCACAGTGGCTTCTCTGTTATACTATTGAAGTTTTCTAGGACAGGCACACAATAATGCTTTCCTTTATAAAATTAATGTATTATATGGCTAAAGGTAGGTAAGAGATTATAATTCTATTAGCATCATTAAAGGATCCTTGTAGCAAAATAAGTATGAGTCATATTATTGAAGAGACACTTGGAAAATCAGCTGGAAAGTTAAAGACAAACATTATCCTTAGAGAGAAACCAGAAGTTATTGACAAAACTCCTTTGTCAAATAACATGGTTGGCTGTGGCATAATATCAGTGGAGTGGAGTGTGGAAGAGCGATTACTATCAAGTGCACGCTAGCAGATATTTCACTTTATGGTTGGATGAAACCACCGATGTCATGCAGAGAATGAATCAGCTTTTGGCATTTGTTCAGAAATGAGTGCTCGGTGATGCTTTTGTTCATTTGTCACTGAAAACTTGTGCTATAGGAAGAGTTTTTTTTTGTTTTTTTTTTTTTGGTTAACCATTATTCATGAGAGTGGAAAAGTTGCTCGGGACAGAACTGACAGGGTACTGGGCTCAGGTACAGATAAGGTGATGGCTTCATGAAGAAAAGGAGTTGTACTTAGAAAGAAGCCAATCCACATGCTACCCACTTCATGGAGAAGACGTAATACCCTCTGATCTTGAGGAAATACAAAAAGAAACAGTGGAAACTATGGATTCAACCAAACTGTGGCCCCTGTGTCTGTGAGTTTGCTGTGCAAAGTGATGGGCAGTGAGTGTAAGACTGCTTCCCCAAGCTGACATATGCTAGCTGCATAGTGGAAAGGTGCTCGTGTAATATTTTATCTGTGGAGTAAGATATCTTTGGAGCAAGAAAAACATTTCCTTATGACAGTGATTAGAAATGATTTGTGTTATATCAAGTGGTATACCTAAGTCATATGCTTAGCCCGTGGTGAACTGTGGCAAGGACAGAGAGGGAAGGGAGAATTATTAACAAATAAAACAATATGCCACAATCTTAGACTATGAAATTTTTTATTAGGGAGTTGGAAGTTCACATTGACTGTAAATTAAGGAAGTGATATTTTCAGTAATAGACAGCCATTTATATCATAAGCATAGTATCTCTCAGTGACCTGCTAGAAGAATAAGAGCTCAAAGTAATAGAACTTAGACCCAGTAAGTTTTGATGGGGAGTAGACACGAGTGTATATTTGGTATTTGAGAGCATGTAGAGAACCATGGCAGGAGGGACCCAGACTTTTAGGATTTTGCATGAAGATATTGGGTGGCAGGGAGTACAGGCTGAAGGAGGTAGAGAAAACTGTCAGATTTCTCTGACAGTTGGATATGATCTTTCTTAAGTTTTTGCCTTAGGCTTCACTTCATTTTATCCAAATGGACTTCATACTCTAAGGTTTTCAGGACATAATCTTTATTGCCATTGGCATAATCTAGAAAAAATGAATGATTTCTTCTGGTCTTATAGTGGTATTGGATACCCTCCGTATAGGCCCCCACCCCTTCCTCCCTCCATTTTTTCCTCTCTTCTCTTTCTCCTTCTCCTCCTTTGTTCTCTCCTTCTTTAAGCCATTGAGTTGGCATCTCTAAGCTACACGAGCTAGAAGAGCTCATCTTCTGTATCACTGTTATCTAGGCAGATATATGTGCTATTCAGGGAACAAGGGAAAGGAGCCCCTAGGGAAGGGAAGTTCTGTACCTTGCTCAACTAACTCATCCTAATGTCCGATATCCAGCTATAGCATGCATTTAAATGTAAACCCCATTCTTTAATAAAGACTCATTTCCTTTTTCCCCTCTTTGGACTTTTAATAAAGATGGAATCATTGTCTTTTGTTTAATAAGTCATCCATTGTGATGGCCCTTATTTAATACTAGGACAAAAGTCATTCATGCATTATTCATTGAACCTTATATGCCAGGCTCTATGCTAAGTAATGGGTATAAAAGAGGTTAATAATCAGACATGGCTCTGTCCAGATAAGACAGAATCTAATGGAAAACAGGCCACACATATATGAATAAATAAATAAGTATATAATTGCAAAACAAGGCAAAAATATTAATGTTTGTTAAATCTGGGCGTTGGTATGTATGGTATACCTCAGTAATATACTTAGGCCACAGTGAATCATGGCAAAGACAAACAAGGAAGGGAAAATTATTAGCAAGTAAAACCATATGCCACAATCTTAGACTATGAATTTTTTTTATTAGAGAGTTAGATGTCCACATTGACCATAAATTAAGGAAGTAATATTTGGTATATGGGCTACTGTTATATTAACTTCTTAACAATATGAACTTCTAAATGTATATTTTAAATATTTCATAAGCAACAAATGAAAAAACCTAGTTGGAAGTACATTAAGTGCTTTGTCGAGGTGGGCTTTGGCAGAGAATGTTGTGTAACTGAGACTTCCTTTAGATGGAGTGCTCAGGGAAAACCTGAAGTGTAATTCATCACTTGCCTATATAAGAAGGATGAGGATAATTTGGAAAGGGTTCAGGGAAGAGTAACAAAGATGATTGATGACAGAGTTGAAAATAGCCCTATGAGAACAGTCTTAGAGAACTGGGGATGCTAAGCAGCAATGGAATGCTTAACCTAATGCAGTGATTTAGGTTTTTTTTTTTTTAATTTATAGGGAGTTTTACACATCCACATTCTCTTCACTTGTCTGCCATGGTCAACAGCAGGCAAGACAAGTGATTCAATTTAGAATTATGGGTTGGAGAAGAATCAGAATTTTGTTCTGCACTTGAGGAAAAATTGGAAAGGATCTGAGAGGTAAACTAGTTTAGCCTTTCTGTAAAGAAATATCTCTTCAGTGTTTTTAACAGGTGGTCATCAGGTTTTTAGGAGATAGTTTCCATGCTTCCTCCACTAAAAATAGGGTGATGGTGAGTGGGACACTCTAGTTTACTTTAATTAGACAGGTCTTCTTCCTGTCCCATAAATACCCTAGACTCATCTCCACCTCAGTACTTTTACCACAGGAAGCAACTCCCACCTGGAATGCCCACCACTTCTACTTACTCTTTCAGGCCCCAGGTCTCCATTGCCCTTCTGTATGCAATTTAAAAACAGTGGTTTTTGTCATTTTTCCCACCTCATCCTTCTGAAGAATATGCCATTCCTGGAATTCAGTGTAGTTTCCCTTGTCAGTGATTGACAGTAAGAGTAAGGGTGGAGTAAGTATCTTATAGGAGGAGTTGGGAGACAGTGTGTTTAGCCTTCCACCCAGATGCTGATATGCTACCCTCTTGGGAATCACTCGTTTGTAGCAATTAAAATCTTAATCATCTGCTGTTTTAGGTGGTACACTAGTTATTGTTTTCCATTAGTCTTCTTGCCACCTAGATTTTAAGCACTCTAAATATATGGAAACTTGGCAGATGCCCCTGTGTAATGCCCAGTATTGATCACATAGTGAATATTCAATAACCAATGCCTAATGGCTAAAGGAACCATCTATTTCTTCTTCATGGACCATTATGAAGGGTTGTTATTTATATAGATCAGATATTAATTGACACAGGATACTAAAAGATTAACATTTTGGACTTTTAAAATGTCAGAAAGTCAAGTCTTGGAGGCCTAGTTCATTCAGATAACTCTCATCTCAGAACTTTCTTCCTTCGTAAGTCTTCTAACTCCTTGCTATTCAAAGTGTGGTCCACAGTCCAGGCAGCATCAGGATCACCAGGGAGCTTGTTGGAAATGCAGAATCTCAGGCACCACACCAGACTTATTGAATTTGAATCTGCATTTTTAAAAGATCCTCACATATGTTGGATGCACAGTAAAGTTTGAGAAACATCATTTTAAATCATCAGAACTCAGAAATTTAGGAGTATTTATCTTCAAAGAGAAGTAAGTGTGGAAATGAAGATTTCATCAGTCTGTGGATGAGATCCTCAGTGCCTTCTGCCATGTGATCTGGAATTTTGCTACTTCATATAGGAGCTTGCCAGGCCAGAAGATACCTCTGCAGGAGTTCCCTGGGGTAGTTCAGGTATGTAGGTGATATTTAGGATTGGTGATTACAGGAAGAAGAAGCAGTTGTTGGCATGAGAAACTAGGAGAGGTTGTCATAAGTAGAGGAGCATGGCAATACGACCCTAAACCAAGAGATCACTTTATGATTGGACACAACTTCTAACTCCCTGAACATGGACTTGTCTCAAACTCCAATACCTCCAGAGCCAACAGGTCACAAATGAAACCAGCTGGATGTGTTGTGCATGGTAGCCTTGTGGAGTGGTGAGGATCATGGAGAGACACACTTCATCAAAAGGAAAGGCAGTGTCCCCACTTGGCTCACCTTATTGTTGCCACATGGGAATTTGGACCCACCATGGCCAAATCTTCAGATTTTTCAAGTGAAGCTAAACTTAATTACATGTAAGTTTGTATGTAAAACATCTCTTGGGTGTAATTTGTTGGTTAAGTATACTGTTTTCAGAACAGCTCATGCCAAACGAAATTCACGTGCTGTTGTGGTGTCTGTGTCTGGTTCGCAGTACCTGTTCTGGATCAACTGAATGTATGAGGTGGTTTTGATACCTGGCTTCTTCAGTGCAGGGCACCAGACACAGGTGTTATGGATCTCTACCAAGAAAATGAAATAAAAAGACGTAAAAGAAGGGAGCTGTATATGCTTTGATGGCCTGATTTAAAATCTGTGATAATCTGAAGAACCTCAGTGGTGTTTGAAGAAAGGGTTAGGTGCCTAAAGGAATAAAATCCAGGTTTTGTAAAAACAGTAAGCAGGTGTTGAGGCAAGGGCAAGGAGATACAGAAACAGAAACTACTTGGCATCCTCAAGCTAGGATCACACACTGCAACAAGGCAGTCAGGGCAAGGATGCTGGACCATAGCTGGAACCTTCTTGTGCTAGAAGAGAAGTGTAACCGTAGCTAGAATTTGAGTTAGTTTATCTTCAGCATCTGGTTATTGAATTTGGTGGCTACCGAAATTGAATTTTGCTGGATTTTCAATTGAAGTTTGTTGTGGTAAAATTACATATTTTGAGAGTGAAAACCAGGTGAAGAAACCAAAATTCTTCCTAATGATTTGCTACTTATTGTATTTGTTAAAGACTAAATTTCTTCAGGGTAAGGATAATTTATTATTATTATTATTATTATTATTTTTCGAGATGGAGTCTCACTATGTCACCCAGGCTGGAGTGCAGTGGCACAATCTCAGCTCACTGCAAGCTCCGCCTCCTGGGTTCACATCATTCTCTTGCCTCAGCCTCCTGAGTAGCTGGGACTACAGGCTCCCACCACCACTCCCGGCTAATTTTTTGTATTTTTAGTAGAGATAGGGTTTCACCGTGTTAGCCAGGATGGTCTCAATCTCCTGACCTCGTGATCCACCTGCCTTGTCCTCACAGAGTGCTGGGATTACAGGCATGAGCCACCGCGCCTGTCCATGGTTTATTTATCTTTACATCCCTAGCATCTATCATAGTCCAAATCAATGAATGTTTCTTGACCTGAACTGATTATAAGACAAAATAAAGTTTATTTTCTATCTTGGAAGTCTATCTGTAGGTGTTCATTTTCCTAACTAAATTTTAAAAAACAGCTTTATTGAGGTATAATTCACATACCGTAAAATTCACAATGTTAAGGTGTATAATTCAGTACTTATTATTTTTATCTTTTATTTTTTATTTTTTTGAGATAGAGTCTCACTGTATCGTCCAGGCTGGAGTTCAGTGGTGTGATCTCAGCTCACTGCAATGTCTGCCTCCCAGGTTCAAGTGATTCTCATGCCTCAGCCTCCTGAGTAGCTGGGACTACAGGCACATGCCACCATGCCCAGCTATTTTTGTATTTTTAGTAGAGATGGGGTTTTGCCGTGTTGGCCAGGCTGGTCTTGAACTCCTGACCTCAAGTGATTCTCCTGTCTTGGCCTCCCAAAGTGCTGGAATTACAGGTGTGACCCATCATGCCCAGTCAATTCAGTACTTTTTAGTACATTCACAACAGTATGCAACCATCACCACTATCTAATTCCTGAACCTTTTCATCACCTCTAAATAGAAACTACATACCCATTAGTAGTTATTTCCCGTTTTTCCTGCTCCCAAACTCTTATTAACCACTACTCTAGATTTGCCTATTCTGGACATTTTGTATGAATGAAATCATATAATATGAAGTCTTTTGTGACTGCATCTTTCACTTAGCATAATATTTTTAAGGTTTATGCATGTTGTAGCATGTGTCACTACTTCACTCCTTTAAATGACCAAATATTTCACTGCATGAGTTTTGTTCATTTTGTTTATCCATCCATCAGTTGATGGACAATGAGGATGGTCTCATTTTTCGGCTATTATGAATAATGCTGCTATGAACATTTATGTAAAAGTTTTTGTGTGGATGTATGTTTTTAGTTCTTTTGCATATATATAGGAGTAAAATTGTGGGCCATATGGTAAATCTGTGTTTTGAGGACCTGATTAACAGAAAGTAGGTGCAACATTTTATATTCTAATCGATGTATGAGAGCTCCAGTTTCTCCACCTCTTTCCCACTTTTTTTTTTTTTTTTGCCATTGTAGCGGGTGTGAAGTTGTGTTTCATTAAGGTTTTCGTTTGTATTTCCATGATGACTAATGATGTTGAACATTTTTTCATGTGCTTATTGGTTATTTAACTATCTTCTTTGAGGAATTGTC